>NC_000014.9:18523523-18712644 GCF_000001405.40 Homo sapiens
AGATAAGATTCCAGAACACAGTGGCTGTGCTTTGAGTGCTTGTCTTTTACATAAGATTCCAGAACACTGCTATTAAGTTTTGAATATTTGTCACTCACATAGGATTGAAGAACACTGCTGCTGTGTTCTGTGCTTTTATTCCTCACATAGGATTCCAGAACACTGTTGCTGGGTTTTGAGAGTTTGTCCCTCACATAGGATTCCAGAACACTGCTACGGGGATCTGAATGTTTTTCCCTCACAAACGATTCCAGAACACTGCTGCTGGCTTTGTTTGTTTATCCTCACAAAGGATTCCAAAACACAGCTGCTGGTTTCTGGGTGTTTTTCCAACACATAGGATTCCGGAACACTTATATGAGTGCCTGAATGTTTGTCTCTCTGATAGGATTCCAGAAAACAGCGGCTGGGTTCTGACTGTTTGTCCCTCCCATAAGACTCCAGAACACTTCTGCTGGGTTCTGAGTGTTTGTCCCCAACATAGGATTCCACAACACTGCCACTGGGTTCTGAGTGTTTGTCCCGCACCTGAGATTCCAGAACACTGCTACTAAGTTCTGAATCTTTGTCGCTCACACAGGATTCCAAAACACTGCTGCTGGGTTCTGAGTGTTTGTCCCTGACATAGGATTCCAGACCACGGCTGCTGGGTTCTGAGTGTTTGTCCCTCACATGGGATTCCAGAACACTGCTGGTTGGTTCAGAGTGTTTGTCCATCACATAGGATTCCGGAACGCTGCTGCTGGGTTCTGAGTGTTTGTCCCTCCATAGGATTCCAGAACACTTCTGCTGGGTTCTGAGTGTGTGTCCCTCACATAGAATTCCACAACACTGCTGCTGGATTCTGAGTGTTTATCCCTCACATAGGATTCCAGAACACTGCTATAGGGTTCTGAGTGTTTGCCCCTCACATAGGATGCCAGAACACTGCTACGAGTGTCTGAATGTTTGTCCTTAACAAAGGATTCCAGAACACTGCTGCTGGGTTCGGACTGTTTGTCCCTCACATAGGATTCCAGAACATTGCTTCGAGTGTCTGAATGTTTGTCCCTCACAAAGGATTCTGCAACATTGCTGCTGGGTTCTGAGTGTTTCTCACTGATATAGGATTCCAGAACATGGCTGCTGGGTTCTGAGTGTTTGTTCCTCACATGGGATTCCAGAACACTTCTGCTGGGTTAAGAGTGTTTGTCACTCACACAGAATTTCAGAAAACTGCTAAGAGGTTCTGAAGGTTTGTCCCTCACACAGGATTCCAGAACACTTCTGCTGGGTTCTGAGTGTTTGTTCCTCACATAGGATTCCAGAACACTGCTGCTGGGTTCTGTTTGTTTGTCCCTCACAAAGGATTACAGAGCACTGCTGCTGGGTTCTGAGTGTTTGTCTCTCACTTAGGAATCCAGAGCAATGCTGCTGGTTTCTGAGTGTTTGTCCCTCACATAGGATTCCGAAACATGGGTGCTGGGTTCTCAGTGTTTGTCCCTCACATAGGATACCAGAAAACTGCTGCTGGGTTCAGAGTGTTTGTCCCTCACATAGGATTCCAGAACACTGCTAGGAGGTTCTGAGAGTTTGTCCCTCACAATAGACTCCACAACACTGCTGCCGGGTTCTGAGAGTTTGTCCCTCACATAGGATTCCGGAACACTTCTGCTGGGTTCTGTTCGTTAGTCCCGCACAAAGGATTACAGAGCACTGCTGATGGTTTCTGAGTGTTTGTCCCTCATCTAGGATTCCAGTACACTTCTTCGGGTCTCTGAAGGTTTGTCCCTCACAAAGGATTCTAGAACACTGCTGTTGGGTTCTGAATGCTTGTCCCTCACATCTGATTCCAGAACACTGCTGCTCAGTTCTGAGTGTTTCTCCCTCATATAGGACTCCAGAACACTGCTAGGAGGTTCTGAATGTTTTTCCCTCACAAACGATTCCAGAACACTGCTGCTGGGTTCTGTTTGTCTCTCACAAGGGATTCCAGACAACCGCTACATGTTTCTTAGTGTTTGACCCTCACATGGGATTCCATAGCACTTCTACGAGTGTCTGAATGTTTGTCCCTCAGGTAGGATTCCAGAGCACAGTGGCTGGGTTCTGAGTGTTTGTCCCTCACATAGGATTCCAGAACACTGCCACTGTGTTCTGTTTCTTTGTTCCTCACAAAGGATTACAGAGCACTGTTGCTGAGTTTTGAGTGTTTGTCCCTCACATAGGATTCCAGAACACTGCTTCGAGTGTCTGAAGGTTTGTCCCTCACAAAGGATTGTAGAACACTGTTGCTCGGTTCTGAGTGTTTGTCCCTCACATGAGATTCCAGAAGACTGCTGCTGGGTTCTGAGAGATTGTCCCTCACAAAGGATTCCAGAACACTGCTGTTGGGTTCTCTTTGTTTTTCCTCACAAAGGATTCCACAGCACCACTGCTGGTTTCTCAGTGTTTGGCCCTCACGTAGGATTCCAGAACAATTCTAGGAGTGTCTGAATGTTTGTCTCTCAGATAGTACTCCAGAACACAGTGGCTGCGTTCTGAGTGTTTGTCCCTCACATAGGATTCCAGAACACTGCTGCTGGGTTCTGAGTGTTTGTCCCTCACACAAGATTTCAGAACACTGCTGCTGCGTTCTGAGTGTTTATCCCTCACATAGGATTCCAGAACGCTGATACTGGGTTCTGAGTGTTTGTATCTCACATGGGATCCTAGAACACACCTATGAGGGTCTAAAAGTTTGTCCATCACAAAGGATTCCAGAACACTGCTTCTGGGTTCTGAATGTTTGTCCTTCACATATGACTCCAGAACACTGTTTCGAGTGCCTGAGTGTTTGTCGCTCACATATGATTCCAGAACACAGTGGCTGGGTTTTGAGTGTTTGTCTCTCACATAGGATTTCAGAACACTGCTACGAGGTTATGAATGTTTGTCCCTCACAAAGGATTCCAGAACACTACTGCTGGGTTCTGAGTGCTTGTCCCTCACATAGGATTCCAGAACACTGCTGCTGGGTTCTGTTTGTTTGTCCGTCACAAAGGATTACAGAGCACTGCTGCTGGGTTCTGAGTGTTTGTCCCTCACATAGGATTACAGAACATTGCCGCTGGGTTCTGAGTGTTTGTACCTCCCATAGGATTCCAGAACACTGCTGCTGGGTTCTGAGTGTTTGTCCCTCACATTGGATTCGTGAACACTGCTATGAAATTCTGAATCTTTGCAGCTCACACGAGATTCCAAAACACTGCTGCTGCGTCCTGAGTGTTTGTCCCTCCCATAGGATTCCAGAACACTGTTAGGAGGGTCTTAATGTTTTTCTCTCAGAATGGATTCCAGAACACTGCTGCTGGGTTCTGTTTATTTGTCCCTCACAAAGGACTCCAGAGCACTGCTGCTGGATTCTGAGTGTTTGTCCCTCACGTAGGATTCCAGAACAATTCTACTAGTGTCTGAATGTTTGTCCCTCCGATAGGATTCCAGAACAGTGGCAGGGTTTTTAGTGTTTGTCCCTCACATAGGATTCCAGAACATTGCTACGAAGTTCTGAATGTTTGTCGCTCACATAGGATTCCAGAACACTGTTGCTGTATTCTGTGTGTTTGTCTCTCACATAGGATTCCAGAACACTGCTGATAGGTTCTGAGAGTTTTTCCATCACATAGGATTCCAGAACACTGCTACGAGTGTCTGAATGTTTTTCCCACACAAGTGATTGCACAACACTGCGGCTGGTTCTGTTTGTTTTTCCGCTGAAATGATTCCAGAGCACAGCTGCTGGCTTCTGCGTGTTTTTCAATCACGTAGGATTCCAGAACAATTCTATGAGTGTCTGAATGTTTGTCTCTCACATAGGATTCCAGAACACTGCTGCTGGTTTCTGATTGTTTGTCCCTCACATAGGATTCCAGAACACTGCGGCTGGGTTCTGAGTGTTTGTCCCTCACATGGGATTCCAGAACACTGCTACGAATTCTGAATCTTTGTCCTTCACACAGGATTATGATACACTGCTGCTGGGTTCTGAGGGTTTTTACCTCACATAGGGTTCCAGAACACTGCTACGAATTCTGAATCTTTGTCCTTCACACAGGATTATGATACACTGCTGCTGGGTTCTGAGGGTTTTTACCTCATATAGGGTTCCAGAACACTGCTGCTGGGTTCTGAGTGTTTGTCCCCGACATAGGATTCCAGAACAGAGATGCTGGGTTCTGAGTGTTTGTCACTCACATGGAATTCCAAAATACTGATGTTGGGTTCGGAGTGTTTCTCCCTCACATACGAATCCAGAACACTGCTATGAGTTTCTGAATGTTTGTCCCAAACAGAGGATTCCAGAACACTGCTGGTGGGTTATGAGTGTTGTCCCTCACATACGATTTGAGAACACTGCTGCTGGGTTGTGAGTGTTTTTCCCTCACATAGGATTCCAGAACACTGCTGCAGGGTTCTGAGTGTTTAGCCCTCACATGGGATTCCAGAACACTGTTACGAATTTCTGAATCTTTCTCGATCACACAGGATTCCAAAACACTGCTGCCATTTTCTGAGTGTTTGTCCCTCACATAGGATTCCAGAACACTGCTGCTGGGTTCTGAGAGTTTGTCCCTCACATATGATTCCAGAACACTTCTAGGACGGTCTGAATGTTTGTCCATCACAAAGGATTCCAGAACACTGCTGCTGGGTTCTGAGTGTTTGTCCCTCACATAGGATTTCAGAACACTTCTAGGACGGTCTGAATGTTTGTCCATCACAAAGGATTCCAGAACACTGCTGCTGGGTTCTGAGTGTTTGTCCCTCACATAGGATTTCAGAACACTTCTAGGACGGTCTGAATGTTTGTCCATCACAAAGGATTCCAGAACACTGCTGCTGGGTTCTGAGTGTTTGTCCCTCACATAGGATTTCAGAACATAGCTTCAAGGGTCCCAATGTTTGTCCCTCACAAAGGAATCTAGAGCTCTGCTGCTGGTTCCTGTGTGTCACTCACATAGGATTCCAGAAAACTACTGCTGGGTTCGGAGTGTTTATCCCTCACATGGGACTTCCAGAACACTGCTTCTGGGTTCTGAGTGTCTCTCACATAGGATTCCAGAACACTGCTGCTGGGTTCTGAGTGTTTGTCCCGCACATAGGATTCCAGGAGACAACTACTGTGTTCTGAATGTTTGTCCCTCACATAGGATTCCAAAACACTTCTACGAGTGTCTGAAATTTGTTCCTCAGGTAGTATTCCAGAACACAGTGGCTGGGTTCTGAATGTTTGTCCCTCACACAGGATTCCGGAACACTACTGCTGGGTTTTGAGGATTTGTCCCTAACATTGGATTCCCGAACCCAGCCACTGTGTTCTGAGTGATTGTCCCTCACATATGATTCCAGAACACTGCTTCGAGGGTCTGCAGGTTTGTCCCTGACAAAGGATTCTAGAACACTGCTGCTGATTTCTGAGTGTTTGTCCCTCACATGGTATTACAAAACACCGCTGCTGGGTTCAGGGTGTTTGTTCCTCACATATGATTCCAGAACACTGCTACGAGATTCCGAATTTTTGTCCCTCACAAACGATTCTAGAACATTGCTGCTGTGTTGTGAGTGTTTGTTCCTCATATAGGATTCCAGAACACAGTGGCTGGGTACTGAGCGTTTGTCCCTCACAAAGATTCTAGAACACTGCTCTGGGTCCTGAGTGTTTGTCCCTTAAATAAGATTCCAGAACACTTCTGCTGGGTTATGAGTGTTTGTCACTGACATAGGATTCCAGAACACTGCTGCTGGGTTCTGAGGGGTTGTCCCTCACATGGGATTCCAGAACACTGCAGCTGGGTTCTCAGTGTTAGTCCCTCACATAGGATTCCAGAATATTGCTACTGGATTCTGAGAGTTTTTCACTCACATAGGATTTCAGAACACTGCTAAGATGTTCTGAATGTTTGTCTCTCAAAAATGATTCTAGAAAACTGCTGCTGGGTTCTGAGTGTTTGTCCCTCACAAAGGATTCTAGGACACTGCTGCTGGGATCTGAGTGTTTGTCCCTCACATAGGATTCCAGAACACTGCTGCTGCGTTCTGAATGGTTGTCACTCACATGGGATTCCAGAACACTGGTGCTGAGTTCTGAGGGTTTGTCCCTCACACAGGATTCCAAAACACAGCTGCTGGGTCTGAGTGTTTGTCCGTCACATAGCATTCCAGAACACTGTTGCTGGTTTCTGAGAGTTTGTCACTCACATAGGATTCCAAAAGCCTGCTTCTCGGTTCTGTATGTTTGTCTCTCACAAAGGATTCCCGAGCACTGCTGTTGGGTTCTGAGTTTTTGTCCCACACATAGGATTCCAGAACACGTCTACGATCATCTGAAAGTTTGTCCCTCAGATAGCATTCCAGAACCCACTTGCTGGGTTCTGAGTGTTTGTCCCTCACGTGGGATTCCAAAACACTGCTGCAGGGATGAGGGTGTTTGTTGCTCACAAGGGATTCCAGAACACTGCTAGGATGTTCTGAATGTTAGTCCCTCACAGAGTATTCTAAAACAATGCTGCTGGGTTCCGAGTGCTTTTCCCTCACAAAGGATTGTAGAACACTGCTGCTGGGATCTGAGTGTTTCTCCCTCACATACGATTCCAGAACACTTCTTCGAGGGTCTGAAATTTTGTTCCTCATAAAGGAAACTAGAACACTGCTGCTGGGTTCTGATTGTTTTTCACTCACATAGGATTCCAGAACACTGCTGCTGGTTTCTGAGGGTTTGTCCCTCACATACGAGTCCAGAACACACCTATGAGAGTCTGAATGTTTGTCTATCACAAAGGATTCCAGAACACTACTGCTGGATTCTGAGTGTTTGTCCCGCACATGGGATACCAGAACCCTGCTGCTGGGTTTTGAGTGTTTGTCCCTCACATAGGATTCCAGAGCACAGCTGCTGGGTTCTGACTGTTGTACCTCACATAGGATTCCAGAACACTGCTGCTGGGTTCTGAGCACTTGTCCCTCACATGGGATTCCAGAACACTGATGCTGGATTCAGAATGTTTGTCCCTCACATATGATTCCAGAGCACTGCTAGGAGGTTCTGAATGTTAGTCCCTCAAAAAGGATTCTAGAAAACTGCTGCTGGGTTTTGAGTGTTTCTTTCTCACAAAGGATTCCAGAACGCTGCTGCTGGGTTCTGAGTGCTTGTCCCTCACAAAGGATTCTAGAATACTGCTGCTGGGTTCTGAGGGTGTGTCCCTCATATAGGATTCCAGAACACTGCTGCTGGGTTCTGAGTGTTTATAACACACATAGTATTCTAGAACACTGCTGCTGGCTTCTGAGTGTTTGTCCCTCACATAGAATTCCAGAATACTGCTACGAAGTTCTGAAAGTTTGTCGCTGACATAAGATTCCAGAACACTGCTGCTGTGTTCTGAGTGGTTTTCCCTCATATAGGATTCCAGATCACTGCTGCTGGGTTCTGAGTGTTTGTCCCTTACATGGGATTCCAGAACAGTGCTACGAGGGTCTGAGAGTTTATCCCTCACAAAGGCTTCCAGAACACTGCTGCTGGGTTCTGAGTGTTTCTCCCTCATATTGGATTCCAGAACAATACTACGAGGGTCTGAATGTTTTTCCCTCGCATGTGATTCCAGAACATGGTTACGAGGGTGTGAAATTTTTCCTTTCCAAATGACTCCAGAACACTGCTTCTAGGTTCTGAGTGTTTGTCCCTCATATAGGATGCCAGAATCCTGCTACGAGGGTCTGAATGTTTTTCCCACACGTAGTATTCCAAAACACTGCTACGAGGTTCTGAATGTCTTTCCCTCACAAAGGATTGTAGAACACTGCTACTGGGTTCTGTTTGTTTATCCCTCACAAAGTATTCAAGAGAACTGCTGCTGATTTCTTAGTGTTTCTCCCTTACATAGGAATCCAGAAAACTTCTACAAGGTACTGAATGTTTGCCCTCAGATTGGATTCCAGTACACAGTGGCTGGATTATGAGTTTTTGTCCCTCACATAGGATTCCAGAACACTGTTACGAGGTTATGAATGCTTGTCCCTCACAAAGGATTCTAGAACACTGCTGCTGGGTTCTGAGTGTTTGTCCCTCACATTGGACTCCAGAACACTGCTGCTGGATTCTGAGTGTTTGTCGGTCACCTAGGATTCCAGAATACTGCTGCTGGGTTCTGTGCATTTGTCCCTCACATAGAATTCCAGAACACTGCTATGAAGTTCTGAAAGTTTGTCTCTCACATGAGATTCCACCAAACTGCTGTTGGATTCTGAGTGTCTGTCCCCCATATAGGATTCCAGAGCACTGCTGCTGGGTTCTGAGTTTTTGTTCCTCAAATAGGATTCCAGAACACTGTTATGAGCGTGTGAATGTTTTTCCCAACCAAAGGATACCGGAACACTGCTGCTAGGTTGTGAGTGTTTGTTCCTCAAAAAGGATTCCAGAACACTGCTACGAGAGTCTGAATGTTTTTCCCTCACAAAGCATTGTAGAACACTGAACCTGGGTTCTGTTTGTTTGTCCCTCACAAAGGATTACAGAGCGATGCTCCAGATTTCTTAGGGTTTGTCCCTCACATAGGATACCAGAACAATTCTCCGAGGTTCTGAATGTTTGCCCTCAAGTAGGATTCCAGTACACAGCCTCTGGATTCTGAGTGTTTGTCCCTCACATAGGATTCTAGAACACTTCTACGAGATTCTGATTGTTTTTCCCTCACAAAGGATTCTAGAACACTGCTTCTGGGTTCTGAGTGTTTGTTCCCTCACAAAGGATTCTAGAAGAGTGCTGCTGTGTTCTCTGGGTTAGTCCCTCACATAGGATTCGAGAACACTGTTGCTGGGTTCTGAATGTTTGTCCCTCACGTTGGATTCCAGAACACTGCAGCTGGCTTCTGAGTGTTTATTCCTCACATAGAATTCCAGAACACCGCTATGAAATTCTGAAACTGTGTCGCTTACATAGGATTTCAGAACACTGCTGCTTGGTTCTGAGTGTCTGTCCCTCACTTAGGATTCCAGAACACTGCTACGAGGGTCGGAATGTTTATCCCTCACAAAGGTTTCCAGAACAATGCTACTGGGTTCTGAGTGTTTGTCCCTCATGTTGGATTTGAGAACACTGCAGCGAGGGTCTGAATGTTTTTCCCTCACATAGGATTCCAGAAGACTGCTACAAGGTCTGAATATTTTTCCCTCACAAAGGATTGTACAATGCTGCTACTGAGTTCTTTTAGTTTGTCCTCAGAAAAGATTCCAGAACACTGCCACAGATTTCTTAGTGTGTGTCCCTCACTTAGGATTCCAGAACACTTCTCCGAGGTTCTGAATGTTTAGCCTCAGATAGCATTCCAGTACACAGTGGTTGGATTTTGAGTGTTTGCCTCTCACATAGGATTCCAGAACAGTGTTACGAGGTTCTGAATGTTTGTCCCTCACAAAGTATTCTAGAACACTTCTGCTGAGTTCTGAGTGTTTGTCCCTCACAAAGGATTCTAGAACACTGCTGCTGGATTCTGTGTGTTTGTCCATCACATAGGATTCCAGAACACTGCTGTTGGTTTCTGAGTGTTTGTCCCTCACTGCCATCTGAGTGTTTGTCCATGACATAGAAATCCACAACACTGCTACGATGTTCTGAAAGTTTGTCACACACATAGGATTCCAGAACACTGCTGCAGCGTTCTGAGTGTTTGTCCCTCACATAAGATTCCAGAACAGTGCTACAAGGGTCTGAATGTTTATCAGTCACAAAGTGTTTCAGATCACTGCTACTGAGTTGTTAGCATTTGTCCCTCATATTGGATTCCAGAACAATACCAAGAGGGCCCGAATGTCTTTCCATCACATAGGTTTCCAGAACACTGTTTCTATAGTTTGAATGTTTTTCCCTACCAAAGGATTCCAGAAGATTACTGCTGGATTCTGAGTGTTTGTCCCACATATAGGATTCCAAATCACTGCAACGAGGGTCTGAATGCTTTTCCCTCACATAGGATTCAAGAACACTGCTAAGATGGTCTGAATGTCTTTCCCTCAGAAAGGATTGTAGAACACTGCTACTGGGTTATGTTTGTTTGCCCCTCACAATGGATTCCAGAGCACTGCTGCAGATTTCTTAGAGTTTGTCCCACACATAGGATTCCAGAACACTTCTATGGGGTTCTGAATGTTTGCCCTCAGCTAGAATTCAAGTACACAATGGCTGGATTCTGAGTGTTTGTCCCTCACATAGGATTCCAGAACACTGTTACCAGGTTCTGAATGTTTGACTCTCACAAAGGATTCTAGAACAATGATGCTGGGTTCTGAGTGTTTGTCCCTCACAAAGGATTCTAGAACACTGCTGATGGGTTCTGAGTGTTTGTCACTCTCATAGGATTCCAGAACACTGCTGCTGGGTTCTGAGTGTTTGTCCCTCACTTAGGATTCAAGAACACTGCTGCTGGCTTCTCAGAGTTTGTCCCTCATATAGAATTCCAGAACACTGCTAGGAAGTTCAGAAAGTTTGTCGCTCGCATGGGATTCCAGAACACTGCTGCTGGGTTGTGAGTGTTTGTTTCACTCATAGGATTCCAGAACACTGCTTCTGGATTCTGAGTGTTTGTTCCTCACATAGGATTCCAATACACTGCTGTTGGGTTCTGAGTGTTTATCCCTCACAAAGTTTTCCAGAACACTGCTACTGGGTTCTGAGTGTTTGCCCTTATATTGGATTCCAGAACAATGCTACGAGTGTCTGAATGTTTTTCCCTCACATAGGATTCCAGAACACTGTTATGAGGGTGTGAATATTTTCCCTCCTAAAGGATTCCAGAACACTGCTGCTGGGTTCTGAGTGTTTGTCCCTCAGGTAGGATTCCAGATCACAGCTTCGAGGGTCTGAATGTTTTTCCCTCACATAGGATTCCAGAACACTGCTACGAGGTTCTGAATGTTTTTCTCTCACAGAGGATTGTAGGACATTGCTACTGGGTTCTGTTTGCTTGTCCCTCACAAAGGAATCCAGAGCACTGCTGCAGATGTCTTAGTGTTTATCCCTCACATACGATTCCAGAACACTTCTATGAGGTTCTGAATGTTTGCACTCATATATTATTCCAGTACACAGTGGCTGGATTCTGAGTATTTGTCCCTCAGATAGGATCCCAGAACACTGCTACGAGGATCTGAATGTTTTTACCTCACAAAGGATTTTAGAACACTGCAACTGGGTTATGTTTTTTGGTCCCACACAAAGAATTCCAGGGCACTGCTGCAGAATTCTTAGTGTTTGTCCCTCACATAGGATTCCAGAACACTGTGACGAGGTTCGGAATGTTTGCTCTCAGATAGGATTCCAGTACAATGTGGCTGGATACTGAGTGTTTGTCCCTCACATAGAATTCCAGAACACTGCTACGAGGTTCTGCATGTTTGTCCTTCACAAAGGATTCTAGAACACTTCGGTTGGTTTCTGTTTGTCCCTCACAAAGGATTCTAGAACATTGCTGCTAGGTTCTGAGGATTTGTACCTCACATAGGATTCCAGAACACTGTTAGGAGGGTCTGAATTTTTGTCCCTCACATAGAATTCCAGAACACTGCTGCTGATTTCTCAGTGATTGTCCCTCACAGAGAATTCCAGAGCACTGCTACGAAATTCAGAAAGTTTGTCACTCACATAGGATTCCAGAACACTGCTGCTGGGTTCTGAGTGTTTCTCCCTCTCATAGGATTCCAGAACACTGCTGCTGGGTTCTAGTGTTTGTCTCTCACATAAGATTGCAAAACACTGCTACGAGGTTCTGAATGTTTATCCCTCATAAAGGTTTCCAGGAAACTGCTGCTGGGTTCTGAGTGGTTGCCCTCATATTGTCTTCCAAAACAATGGTAGGAGTGTCTGAATGTTTTTCCCTCACCTAGGATTCCAGAACACTGTTAGGAGGGTGTGAAAGTTTTTCCCTCCTAAAGGATTACAGAACACTGCTGCGGGGTTCTGAGTGTTTGTCCCTCACAAAAGATTCTAGAATATTGCTCCTGGGTTCTGTGTCTTTGTCCATCACATAGGATTCCAGAACACTGCTGCTGGGTTCTGAGTGTTTGTCCATAACATAGGATACCAGAACACTGCTGCTGGGTTCTGAGTGTTTGACCCTCTCATAGGATTCCAGAACACTGCTGTTGGGTTCTCAGTGTTTCTCCCTCACATTGGATTCCAGAACACTGCTACAAGTTTCTGAAGGTTTTTCCTTCACAAAGGATTCCAGAACACTGCTGCGGGGTTCTGTGTGTTTGTCAATCAAATATGATTCCGGAACACTTCTGCTCGGTTCTTAGTGTTTGCCACTCACATATGATTCCTGAACACTTCTACAAGGGTCTCAAAGTTTGTCACTCACATAGGATTCCAGAACACTTCTAGGAGGGTCTGAATGTGTGTCCTTCACAATGGATTCCAAAACACACTGGTGGATTCTGAGGATTTCTCCCTCACATAGGATTCCAGAACTCTGCTGCTGGTTTTCCAGAACACTGCTGATGGGTTCTGTGTCTTTGCCAATCAAATAGGATTCCAGAACACTGCTGCTGGGTTCTGAGTGTTTGTCCTACATATAGGTTTCCAGAACACTGCTACGAGTGTCTGAATGTTTGTCACTCACATAGGATTAGAGAATACTGCTAAGAGGGTCTGAATCTATGTCCCTCACAAAGGATTCCAGAACACTGCTGCTGGGTTCTGAGTAATTGTCCCTCACTTAGGATTACAGAACACTGCTACAAGGTTCTGAATATTTGTCCCTCACATCGGATTCCAGAACACTGGTACAAAGGTCTGAAAGCTTTTCCCTCACATCATTTTCGAGAAACTGCTCCTGGGTTCTTGGTGTTTACCCTCACATAGTATTCCAGAAAACTTCTCCGTGGTTCTGAATGTTTGTCCCTCACAAAGGATTCCAGAACACTGCTGCTGGGTTCTGAGTTTCTGTCACTCACATAGGATTCTAGGACAATTTTTCTGGGTTCTGAGTGAGCCTCACATCTTATTCCAGAACACTGCTATGAGGGTCTGAAACTTTGTTCCTCACAAAGGATTCCAGAACTCTGCTGCCGTGTTCTCAGTGTTTGTCCCTTACATAGCAATCTGGAACACTGCTGCTGGGATATGAGAGTTTGTCCCACACATAGGATTCCAGAACACTGCTGCTGGGTTCCGAGTGTTTGTCCCTCAAAAAGGATTCCGGAATACTGCTACTGGGTTCTGATTGTTTGTCCCTCTCATAGGATTCCAGAACACTGGTACGACGGTCTTAAGGATTCTCCGCAACATAGCATTCCAGAACATTGCTACGATGGTCTGAATGCTAGTCCCTCACATGGGATTCCAGAACACTGTTGCTGGGTTCTGAGTGTTTGTCCTTCACATAGGATTCCAGAACACTGCTGCTAGTTTCTGAGTGTTTGTCCCTCACATAGGATCCCAGAACTCTGATGCAAGGGTCTGAATGTTACTCCCTCAGATAGGATTCCAGAACACTGCTGCTGGGTTCTGAGTGTATGACCCTCACATAGAAATCCAGAACACTGATATGAAGGTTTGAATATTTGTCTCTCACATAGGATTCCAGAACACTGCTACAAGGGTCTGAATGCTTGTCCGTCACAAAGGACTCCAGAACACTGCTGCTGGGTTCTGAATGTTTTTCCCTCTCATAGGATTGCAGAACACAGCTACGAGGGTCTGAATGTTTGTCTCTCACATATGATTCCAGAACACTGCTATGATGGTCTGAATGCTTGCCCCTCATGTAGGATACCAGAACACGGCTGCTGGGTTTTGAGTGTTTCTCTGTCACATAGGATTCCAGAACACTGCTTTGAGGGTCAGAAAGTTTTTCTCTCACAAAGGATTCCAAAACACCGCTGCTGGGTTCGGGGTGTTTGTCCCTCATATAGGATTCGAGAACACTGCTACGAGGCTCTGAATGTTTGTGCCTCAGAAAGGAATCCAGCACACTGCTGCTGGGTTCTGAGGGTTGGTCCCTCACATAGGATTCCATAACACTGATAAGAAGGCCTGAATGTAAGTCCCTCACAAAAGATTCCAGACCACTGCTGCAGGGTTCTCAGTGTTTGTCCCTCACATAGTACTACAGAACACGGCTGCTGGGTTCTGATTGTTTGTCCGTCACATAGCATTCGAGAACACTGCTACGGGGGTCTGAAGGTTTGTATCGCACATAGGACTCCAGAACACTCCTTCGAGGTTCTGAATGTTTGTCCATCACCAAGGATTCCAGAACACTGCTACTGGGATGTGAGTGTTTGTCCCTCACTTGGGATACCAGAACAAAGCTCCGAGGTTCTGAATGTTTGTCCCTCACTAAGGATTCTAGAACACTGCTGTTGGGTTCTGAGTGTTGTCCCTAAAATAGGATTCCAGAACACCGCTGCTGTATTCTGTATGTTTGTCCCTCACAAAGGATTGCAGAACACTGCTGCTGGTTTCTGAGTGTCTGTCCCTCATATAGGATTCCAGAACACTTCTATGAGTGTCTGAATATTTGTCCCCCACCTAGGATTTCAGAACACAGTGGCTGGGTTCTGATTGTTTGTCCCTCACATAGGATTCCAGAATACTGCTGTTGGGTTCTGAGTGTTTGTCCCTCACAAAGGATTCTAGAACACTGCTGCTGAGTTCTGAGTGTTTGTCCCTCACATAGGATTCCAGAATACTGCTGTTGGGTTCTGAGTGTTTGTCCCTCACAAAGGATTCTAGAACACTGCTGCTGGGTTCTGAGTGTTTGTCCCTCACAAAGGATTCTAGAACACTGCTGCTGGGTTCTGAGTGTTTGTCACTCACATAGGATTCCAGGGCACTGCTGCTGGGTTCTGAGTGTTTGTCCCTCACATAGGATTCCAAAACACTGCTGCTGGGTCTTGGTGTTTGTCCCTCACATAGGATTCCAGAGACCTGCTTCTGGGTTCTGAGTGTTTGTCACTCAGATCGGATTCCAAAACACTCCTGCTGTGTTCTGAATGTTTGTCCCTCACAAAGGATTGCTGAGCACTGCTGCTGGTTTCTGAGTGTTTGTCCTCACGTAGGATTCCAGAGCACTTCTACAAGTGTCTGAATGTTTGTCCCTCAGATAGGATTCCAGAACACAGTGGCTGGGTTCTGAGTGTTTGTCCCTTACTTAGGATTTCAAAACACACCTGCTGGGTTCTGAGTGTTTGTCCCTCACATGGGATTCCAGAAGACTGCTCCTCGTTTCTCAGTGTGTGTCCCTCACTTAGGATTCCAGAACACTGCTTCGAGGGTACGAATGTTTGTCCCTCAAAAAAGGATTCTAGAACACTACTGCTGTGTTCCAAATGCTTGTCACTCACATAGGTTTCCAGAACACTGCTGCTGGGTTCTGAGTGTTGTCCCTCACATACGATTCCACAACACTTCTACGAGTGTCTGAATGTTTGTCCCTCAGATAGGATTCCAGAACACAATGGCTGGGTTCTGATTTTTTGTCCCTCACATAGGATTCCAGAACACTGCTGCTGGCTTCTGAGTGTTTGTCCCTCAAAAAGTATTCTAGGACACTGCTGCTGGATTCTGAGAGTTTTTCCCTCATGAAGGATTCTAGAACACTGCTCCTACGTTCTGAGTGTTTGTCCCTTACCCAGGGTTCCAGAACACTGCTGCTGGTTTCTGTGTGTTTGTTCCTCACAAAGGATTCTGGAACACTGCTGCTGGGTCCTGAGTGTTTGTCCGTCACATGGGTTTCCAGAACACTGCTGCAGGGTTCTGAGTGTTTGTCACTCAGATAGGATTCCAAAACACTGCTGCTGTGTTCTGTATGTTTGTCCCTCACAAAAGATTGCTGAGCACTGCTGCTAGTTTCTGAGTGTTTGTCCTCACGTAGGATTCCAGAGCACTTCTACAAGTGTCTGAATGTTTGTCCCTCATATAGGTTTCCAGAACAGAGTTGCTGGGTGCTGAGTGTTTGTCCCTCACATAGCATTGCAGAACAACGCTGCTAGTTTCTGAGTGCTTGTCCCTCACATAGGATTCCAGAACCTTGCTTCTGGGTCTTAGTGTTTGTCCCTCACTTAGGATTCCAGAACACTGCTGCTTGGTTCTGAGTGTGTGTCCCTCACTTAGGATTCCAGAGCACTGCTTCGAGGGTATGAATGTTGGTCCCTCACAAAGGATTCTAGAACACTACTGCTGTGTTCCAAATTCTTGTCACTCACATAGGTTTCCAGAACACTGCTGCTGGGTTCTGAATGTTTTTCCCTCACAGAGGATTCCGGAACACTACTCCTGGGTTCTGAGTGTTTGTCCCTCACATAGGATTCCAGAACCCTGCTGTTGGGTTCTGAGTATTTCTCCCTCCCATATGATTCCAGAACACTTCTTCAAGGGTCTGAAGTTTTGTCCCTCATAAAAGATTCTGGAACACTGCTACTGGGATCTGATTGTTTTTCACCCACATAAGATTCAAGAACTCTGCTGCTGGGTTCTGAGTGTTTGTCCCTCACATGAGATTCCAAAACACTGCTGCTGGGTTCAGAGTGTTTGTCCCTCACAAAGGATTCTAGAACACTGCTGATGGCTTCTTTGTGTTTGTCTCTCACAAAGGATTCTAGAACACTGCTGCTGGGTTCTGAGCGTTTGTCCCTCACAAAGGATTCTAGAACACTGCTGCTGGGTTCTGAGCATTTGTCCCTCACAAAGGATTCTAGAACACTACTGCTGGGTTCTGAGTGTTTGTTCCTCACATAGGATTCTAGAACAGAGCTGCTGGGGTCTGAGTGTATGTCACTCACATAGGATTCCAGAAAACTGTTGCTGGGTTGCGAGTGTTTGTCCCTCACATACGATTTCAGAATACTCTTAAGATGTACTGAATGTTTGTCCCTCACGTAGGATTCCAAAACACTGCTGCTCAGTTCTGTATGTTTGTTCCTCACAAAGGATTCCTGAGCACTGCTGCTGGTTTCTGAGTGTTTATCCCTCACATAGGAGTCCGGAACACTGCTGCTGGGTCCTGAGTTTTTGTCCCTCACGTAGGATTCCAGAACACTGCTAGGAGGGTCGCAATGTTTTTCCCTCAGAAAGGATTCCAGAATACTGCTGCTGAGTTCTGTGTGTTTGTCCCTCACAAAGGTTTCCAGAGCACAGCTATTGGTTTCTGAGTCTTTGTCCCTCACATAGGATTCCAGAACACCTCTACGAGTGTCTGTATGTTTGTCCCTCATATAGGAAACCAGAACACAGTGGCTGGTTTCTGAGTGTTTGTCCCTCACATAGATTTCCAGATCACTGCCGCTGGGTTCTGAAAGTTTGTCCTCACATAGGACTCCACAACACTGCTCCTGGGTTGTGAGTGTTCTCCCTCATATAGGATTCCAGAACACTGCTGCTGGGTTCTGAGTGTTTGTCCCTCACATAGGATTCCAGAACAGTGCTACTGGGTACTGATTGTTTGTCCCTCACATAGGAATCCAGAACTCTGCTACGAGGGTCTGAATGTCTGCCCATCACAAGGGATTCCAGAACACTGCTGCTGGATTCTGAGTGCTTTTCCATGACATAGTATTCGAGAACACTTTTGGTGAGTTTGAGTATTTGTCCCTCATATAGGCTTCCAGAACACTGTTGCTGGGTTGTGAGTGTTTTTCTCTCACGTGGGATTCCAGAACACTGCTGCTGGGTTCTGAGGTTTTGTCCCTCACTTAGGATTCCAGAACACTGCTGCTAAGTTCGGAGTTTTTCTTGCTCACATAGGATTCCAGAACACTGTTGCTGGTTTCTGAGTGCTTCTCCTTCAAATAGGATTCCAGAACATTGCTAGGCGGTCTAAATGTTTGCCCATAACAACGGATTCCAGAACACTGATGCTGGGTTCTGAGTGTTTGTCCCTCACATGGGATTCCAAAACACTGCTGCTGGGTTCAGAGTATTTGTCCCTCATGTACGATTCCAGAGCACTGCTACGAGGTTCTGAATGTTTGTCCCTCACAAAGGATTCCAGAACAGTGCTGCTGGGTTCTGAGTGTTTGTCCCTCACAAAGGATTCCAGAACTCTGCTGCTGGATTCTGAGTGTTTTTCCCTCACAGGATTCCAGAACACTGCTACGAGGGTCTGAATGTTTATCCCTCAGATAGGATTCCAGAAACACCGTGGCTGAGTTCTGAGTATTATTCCTTCACATAGGATTCCAGAACACTGCTGCTGGGTTCTGAATTTTTGTCTCTCAGATAAGTTTCCAGAATCCTGCTACTGGGTTCGGAGTGTTTTGCCCACACATACGATTCCAGATCACTTCTTCGAGGGTCAGAAGGTTTGTCCCTCTCAAAGGATTCTAGAAAACTGCTTCTGGGTTCTGATTGTTTTCCACTCACATAGGATTTGAGAACCCTGCTGCTGGGTTCTGCGTGTTTGTCCCTCACATGGGATTCCAGAAGACTGCTACTGTGTTCTGTATGTTTGTCCCTCACATAGTATTCCAGAACACTTCTACGAGTGTCTGAATGCTTGTCCCTCAGATGGGATTCCAGAACACAGTGGCTGGGTTCTGAGTGTTTGTCCCGCACACAGGATTCCAGAACACTGCTGATGGGTTCTGAGTCTTTGTCCCTCACAAAGGATTCTAAAACTCTCCTACTGGGTTCTGAGTGTTTGTCCCTCACATAGGATTACAGAACACAGCTACGACGGTCTGAATGTTTCTCCATCACAATGCATTGCAGAACCCTGCGACTGGGTTCGAAGTGTTTGGCCCTCATATGCGATTCCAGATCACTTCTTTGAGGGTCAGAAGGTTTGTCCCTCACAAAGGATTCGTGAACCCTGCTGCTGGGTTCTGCGTGTTTGTACCTCACATGGTATTCCAAAACACTGCTGCTGGGTTCTGAGTTTTTGTCCCTCACAAAGGATTCCAGAATACTGCTTTAGGACTGTGAGTGTTTGTCCATCACAAGGGATTCCAGAGCACTCCCGCTGGTTTCTGAGTGTTTTTCCCTCACACAGTATTCCAGAACAGTGCTTTGAGGGTCTGAAGGTTTGTCCCTCACAAAGGATTCTAGAACACTGCTTTTGGATTTTGAGTGTTTGTCACTCACATAGGATTCCGCAACACTGCTTCTGGCTTCTGAGTGTTTGTCCCTCACATGGGATTCCAAAACACTGCTGCTGGGTTCAGAGTGTTTGTTCCTTACATGGGATTCCAAAACACTGCTGCTGGGTTCAGAGTGTTTGTCCCTCACATACGATTCCAGAACACTGCTACTAGTTTCTGAATGTTTGTGCCTCACAAAGGATTCTAGAACACTGCTGCTGGGTTCTGAGTGTTTGTCACTCACATAGGATTCCGGAACACTGCTTCTGGCTTCTGAGTGTTTGTCCCTCACATGGGATTCCAAAACACTGCTGCTGGGTTCAGAGTGTTTGTTCCTTACATGGGATTCCAAAACACTGCTGCTGGGTTCAGAGTGTTTGTCCCTCACATACGATTCTAGAACACTGCTACTAGTTTCTGAATGTTTGTGCCTCACAAAGGATTCTAGAACACTGCTGCTGGGTTCTGAGTGTTTGTCACTCACATAGGATTCCAGAACACTGCTTCTGGCTTCTGAGTGTTTGTTCCTCACATGGGATTCCAAAACACTGCAGCTGGGTTCAGAGTGTTTGTCCCTCACGTACGATTCCACAACACTGCTACTAATTTCTGAATGTTTGTGCCTCAGAAAGGATTCTAGAACACTGCTGCTGGGTTCTGAGTGTTTGTCCCTCACATAGGATTCCAGAACACTGCTGCTGGATTGTGAATGTCTTTCCCTCACGTGGGATTCCAAAACTGTGCTGCTGGTTTCAGAGTGTTTGTCCTTCATATACAATTCCAGATCACTGCTACTAGTTTCTGAATGTTTGTGCCTCACAAATATTCTAGAACACTGCTGCTGGGTTCTGAGTGTTTTTCCCTCACATGGGATTGGAGAACACTGCTGCCACATTCTGTCTGTCCCTCACATACGATTCCACAACACTGCTACGAGTCTCTGAATGTTTGTCCCTCACAAACGATTCTAGAACACTGCTGCTGGGTTCTGAGTGTTTGTCCCGCACAGAGGATTCCATAACACTGCTGCTATTTTCTGAGTGTCACTCACATAGGCTTCCAGTACACTGCTGCTGTGTTCTGAGTGTTTGTCTCTCACCTAGTATTCCAGAACGCTGCTGCTGATTTCTGAGTGTTTGTCCCTCACATCGGATTCCAGAACACGGCTGCTGAGTTCTGAGTGTTTGTCCCTCACATAGGATTCCATAAAACTGCTGCAGATTTCTTAGTGTTTGTCACTCACATAGGATTCCAGAACCCTGCTGCTGGGTTCTGAGTTTTTCTCCCTCACATGGGATTCCAAAACACTGCTGCTGGTTTCAGAAAGTTTGTCCCTTACACACGATTCCAGAACACTGCTACGAGGTTCTGAATGTTAGTAACTCACAAAGGATTCTGTAAGACTGCTGCAGCCTCCGAAAGTGCTGGGATTACAGGCATGAGCCACTGTGACCGGCCATTCATTTATTCTTAGGTTTTTTTTCTATTAATGCCTACTGTGTGTCAGGACCTACGGATGCAGATTATAGAAGATATATGTACACTAGTGAAGGTGATAGGAGAAATACTGGATTTAAAAGAGGAAGTGCATGGAAATGATATGAAATACATAGGAATTGTGCTAAACCCAAAGTTGGGCAGGGGGAGAGTGTTAAATAAATCTTTACAGAGGAAGTGCCATATAAGTTGAGACCTCATCATGGAGTTTGAGGGAACGAGAAGGGCACAAAGAAGTGGGAAATGGGTTGGGGGTGCGATGTGAAAAAGAAACCATTTCGGTAAAGGGAAGAGCATGTAAAGTCCCGTAAAGAAAACTTTAAATTTGAAGATGTAGAAATGCAAAACCAGCCTCAGAATGGTTGGATTGTGAAGGAGGAAGTGGTAACAGTTTGGAGCCTTTTGAGTAGGGTATGTCCAGGACCGTCTGTTTCATGCCTGCAGTTCCAGCATTATTACAAATAAATAGCCTTTCTCCCACTTTCAATTGTTTCCCTATTTGGAGGATAAATTATATGGCCACACCTGAAATCGTAAGCTTATTAAAAAGTGGAAAGTGATTCAAAGGATTTGAAGGAAGAAGTGACATGTCACTCCATATGTAGACCAGCCTTTTGAGGCATTGGAAGGTGTAGAATGGGAGAAATGCAATGCTGAATGAAGGAAGGCCAATAGGAGCCTGTAGAAATAATTCAGATGATAGAACACTAACACTTTGGTCTGCAAGGTGGGCTGATCACCTAAGGTCAGGAGTTTGAGACCAGCCTGGCCAACATGGTGAAACCCTGTCTCTACTAAAAATACGAAAATTACCCGGGCATGGTAGCAGTTGCCTGTAATCCCAGCTACTTGGGAGGCTGAGGCAGGAGAATCACTTGAACCTGGGAGAAGGAAGTTGCAGTGAGCTGAGATTGTGCTCTTCACTCCAGCCTGGGTGAAAGAGTAAAACTCCCTCACACACACACACACACACACACACACACACAAGCACATACACACACACACAAAAGCACACGATTGAGGTCCTAATGAAAGAGTATGGGATGGGTGGAAGGAAGCATGGGGGATGGGCAGCTTGAGGGACAACTTCAATATGTGGTCTTGGAATAACTAATACTTTCGGATAAAAATAGAACAGTTGCCACTGGAGTGAACTCCAAATATATTAAAAATTTAAGTGTAAAAAGTTGAACCATAAGAATATTATTGGGCCGGGCGCTGTGACTCACGTCTGTAATCCCAGCACTTTGGGAGGCCAAGGCGGGTGGATCACGAGGTCAGGAGATCGAGAGCATCCTGGCTAACACGGTGAAACCCCATCTCTACTAAAAATATAAAAAATTAGCCGTATGTGGTGGCGGGAGCGTGTGGTCCCAGCTACTTGGGAGTCTGAGGCAGGAGAATGGCATGAACCCGGGAGGCGGAGGTTGCAATGAGCAGAGATTGCGCCACTGCACTCCAGCCTGGGCGACAGAGAGAGACTCCATCTCAAAATAAAAAAAGAAAAAAAAAGAATATTTTTAATCGAAAAATATATATTAGAAGAAAATTTGAAAGTTATACGATCATGGGCCAGGAGCAGAGGCTCACGCCTGTAATCCCAGCACTTTGGGAGGCCAAGGCAGGCAGATTATGAGGTCAGCAGATCGAGACCACCCTGGCTAACATGGTGAAAACCCATCTCTACTAAAAATACAAAAATTTAGCCGGGCGTGGTGGCATGCACCTGTAGTCCCAGCTACTCGAGAGGCTGAGGCAGGAGAATGGCATGAACATGGGAGGTGGAGCTTGTAGTGAGCTGAGATTGCGCCACTGCACTCCAGCCTAGGGGACAGAGGGAGACTCCATTTCAAAAAAAAAAAAAAGAAAAAAGAAAGTTATGTGAATATGGAATAGAAAAGCATTTGAAACACAAAGACAGGAATACACACATACAGACACACAAACACGCACCCATAAAGGAAGTAATATTTTAAAATCCTTAAGTGAGGTTAGAAGGAATCATTTATTAATATACATGATTTATGATATTTGTCCTTAATAAGATGTCATAATTTATTATGTTTCCTTTATTTTTCCTTTTACAAAGTGACTTGATACTTAAAAGGAAATAGAAATATTCTTTTTTGATAATACATAATTGTATTTTTCATTCAAATTAAAAAGAAAGCAATAGCCCCTATCTTCCTTGATTTATTAGTGAGGACGAGTATCTTTTCCTAAAGTTACATGTTTTTCTTCTTCTTGGCTAGCTGCATTACCTTGCAACCCTTTCTGTGTGTGTGTGTGTGTGTGTGTGTGTGTGTATATATATATACACACATATATATATACACATACATACATGTATATATATACACATATATATGTATGTGTGTATGTGTGAATATGTATATATATATATAAAATATGTGGTTTTGTCCCAGTATATTCTATGGGATCACAGAATGCACTAATTACTGTGATTTTTTTTTTGCTTTTAATATTTTTGGTATTTTGTAGCCTTCTCTTTGTGTCAACAAAATTATCGATTTAATTTTTCCTTATAGATGAACCTTTGTTATTTCTGCTTTTCTGCTGTTTAAATAACACTATGATGCACATCTTTTGTATATTAGACAATTTTATGGATTTTGTCAAAATATACTTTAATTAGGACAGTAAATTATTGGTGCATACATAATGTTTGTACATTTTACAGTTTTGATCATTATTTCCAGCTGGTTGTTAAGACAGACCTTCTCGAGCACCTGCAGTATAGTGCATGAGAAGGCATGTTTCCTTATGCTGTTGCAATTTGCATAAGCTCTTTTTAATTAATATTCTTTTTTTTTTTGAGACAGAGTCTCACTCTGTTGCCCAGGTTGAAGTGCAGTGGCACAATCTCAGCTGACTGTAACTTCTACCTTCTGGTCTCAAACTATTCTCCTGCCTCAGCCTCCCAACTAGCTGGGACTACAGGTTCGTGTCACCACACCTGGCTAATTTTTGTATTTTTTGTGGAGTTGGGGTTTTGGCATATTGGCCAGGCTGGTCTCGAACTCCTGGCCTCAAGTGATCCACTCACCTAGTCCTCCCAAAGTGCTGGGATTACAAATGTGAGTCACCATACACAGCCTCAAGTAATATTCCTTTCTAGCTTTTCTAGTTGATCACCACTAGAATGTAAGCTACATGAGAGTAGGGAATAAAAGTTGCAGACGTATAGCAAGCTTTCGGTGAGTACTGCATGATTAAATAATGGTTAGTAAAAATTTTATGTTATTCCTAATGAATTGTGATTGATATAAGAGTATAAAATCATTATTATATATTTCTCCTCAGTTATTTCTCTTTAATCTTACATGCATTTTGTAAGACTGTGTAGAAATATGTACTTTTATGTAGTAGAATTTGGTGTGCTTTTTCTTTATGACTTCTGGGCACTGAGTTAGCTTAGAAAGGACTGCCATTCTTCATGACAACTTCAGGAAAATTTTCTTTCTTATTTTCTTTTGACTTTTTAAAAAATTGAATTTTAAAGTTTGAAATCATTAATCTGTATGAAAATTTGGTGTATGGTATAAGAAGTGGTTCTAGTTTTTTTAATTCCAGTGGATAGCAATTTTCTCACAGTCTGATTTGTCTTTATTATATTCATGAATCTGTTTTGAACTCTTGGTTTGATTGTTGTTAATTTGGTTATCTTATCATTTTAGTAATTATAGCATGATACCTGCTAAGGCCAAATTTCTATCATTATTCTTGCAAATGTATTTTTCCTGAAGAAATTTAGAATTCTCTCTTCATGTCATTAAAAAAACCCATTGGGATGCAGTTGAATTTTCCAGTGAAAGAACATGGCAATTTATTTATTTAGGTCAAATTGTTTCTTACATAAACCTGGAATATTTCCTGCTAAGTCTGTTCCCAGGCCTGATGTGTATGTGTGTGTGCATGCACTCATATATTTATATGTATACACACATATACATGTATATAAATTAATTTTCCCCAATGTATACTATTTATTGTTTTCTAACAAGTATATTGTTTCTATATAGTAAATATGTTAATTTCCATAATACTTATTTTATGTCACCTTACTGATATATATTATTTTTTAAAATGTTCGATGTTATGTTATTAAGATTTTTAAATCTTTTCCTTTTTAGTAATTACAGATCATTTTCCCCTTACCTTATTGCCTTGATATGACTTGCACAAAAAAAATGCTCAAAACTTGTAGTAAATAAAGGATATGTTTTTGTTTTTCTGTACTTTTATGGGGATACTTCTGTGCTTCCTGTTATTATACCTCTGTGCTTCCTGTTATTATCATCAAACATCCTGTATAATGTTTGTTGCTGGTTTCTGATAGAATATTTTACAAAATTTTGTTCTGTCATTTTTTTAAAAAATCAAGATTATATTACATTTTGTCAAATGCCTTTATGGTACTTATCAAAGTGATCATAGAAGCTTTTTTAGTTGTTAACATAAATAATAATGTGCAGATATTTATATTGACAAAACATTAAATTCTTGGGGTTAAATCTTCTTTTTGATAAAAAAAGATTGTTTTTTATTATACTTTAAGTTCTGGGGTACATATGCAGAATGTGCAGGTTTGTTACATGGGTATACACGTGCCATGGTGGTTTGCTGCCCCCATCAACCTGTCACCTACATTAGGTATTTCTCCTAATCCTATCCCTCCACTAGCCCCTCATCCCCCAACAGCACCTGGTGTGGGGTGTTCCCCTCCCTGTGTCCGTGTATTCTCATTGTTCAACTCCTACTTATGAGTGAGAACATGAGGTGTTTGGTTTTCTGTTCTTGTGTTAGTTTGCTGAAAATGATGTTTTCCAACTTCATCCATGTCCCTGCAAAGGATATGAACTCATCCTTTTTAATGGCTGCATAATATTCCATGGTGTATATGTGCCACATTTTCTTTATCCAGTCTATCATTGATGGACATTTGGGTTGGTTCCAAGTTTTTGCTATTGTGAACAGTGCAGCAATAAACATCCACTTGCATGTGTCTTTGTAGTAGAATGATTTATAATCCTTTGGGTATATGCCCAATAATGGGATTGCTGGGTCAAATGGTATTTCTGGTTCTAGATCCTTGAGGAATTGCCATACTGTCTTCCACAATGATTGAGATAATTTACACTCCCACCAACGGTGTAAAAGCGTTTCTATTTCTCCACATCCTCTCCAGCATCTGTGGTTTCCTGACTTTTTAATGATCACCATTCTAACTTGCATGAGATGGTATCTCATTGCGGTTTTGATTTGCATTTCTCTAATGACCAGCAATGATGAGCTTTTTTTCTTATGTTTGTTGGCTGCATAAATGTCTTCTATAAAAGAAGATTTTTACATCTGATTTTGTAATATATTACTTAGGTATTTTAAAAAATCATCCGGAGACCAAAGTTGTGCTGTCATCTTTTCATACTTTCTGGTTAGGTTTTGCATTTGGGTTGTGAGACCTTTGAAAAAGAAATGTTATGTTTTACTATGTGTTGGAATGCTGTAAATAAAACAGAAAACTTTAATACAACCCTTCATTTTGTTCAAATGCCATTTCTGAGGAAAATTTTTTGACAGTGCTTTCAATTTATTCTGTAGTTATCGAGTTGATCCAGCTTTCGGGCTTCATTATTTATTTTTTCCTAGGAAACTTAACATTTTATTAAGATTTCAAGCACGTTCCAGTGGTTTTCAATGCATTCTGTTGATTTGTATCTGAAGTTCTGTCTTGTTTCTCAGTGCTATTAATATACAATGTTTTCTCTAGCTCCTTGCTGTGCATACTAGAAATGCCTAATTATCTCATCTCTCAAAAGAACTGGCTCTTTATTATCAATTCTATTTTTCTTTCTTTTTTTCTTTTCTTTTTCTTTTTTTTTGAAACTAAGTCTCACTCTGTCACCCAGGTTGAAGTGCAGTGGTGTGATCTCCACTCCCTGCAACCTCAACCTCCCAGGTTCAAGCAATTCTCCTGCCTCAGCCTCCCAAGTAGCTGAGATTACAGGCACATGCCACCGTGGCTAACTAATTTTTGTATTTTTAGTAGAGATGCAGTTTCACCATTTTGGCCAGGCTCATCTCAAGCTTCTGACCTCAGGTGATCCTCCTGCCTCATCCTCCCAAAGTATTGGGATTATAAACGGTAGCCACTGTACCTGGTCTAACTCTTTTCTTTATATCTGTCTTTGCTTTCATTTAGTGGAATACTTAGCTTTCACACTTGTTTAATTACAAATGCATGTAAGAATGTGTGGCTTTCTTTTAAATTTCTTTCACCTTCCATGGACATCATGTATGTCATATTGGCATTTATATTAATTTCTTGATTGTCTATAATACATTTTAATAACTTCAATATCCTGACTTATTTAAATTTGGGAGGTAGTCTGGGTTTCATTTTTTTATTTTTTTATATTTACAGATGTACGTATTTTATATTTGCAGATGCTAATTTCTAGTTTGATCCATTTTTATCACAATATAGAACCTGTTAACCTTTTTAGTGTAAAATTTGTTAAAGATGTTTGCTTGCTAGTTTGGTCAACTTTGGCAAATATATGAAGGAAAAGAATAGCTATATGGAAAGGATTTTTAAAAATGTGTGTATGTTCCTCTACAAGTTTATAGATAAACTTAAATATTCAAAGTGACTATTCCTAAAATAAGATAATCATTAAAGTTAATTGTAATAGGTAATAAATCAATAATATGAAGTCTTTACTATGGACCAGCCTTTTTGCTGTGCACTTTCATGTATTATCTCTTTAATCATTGTGAAGCCCTATTAAGAAGTAGGTACAAATATTAACTCTTTTGTTGGGGGGGATAGGGTCTCACTCTGTCACCCAGGCTGGAGTGCAGTGACCTGATCTTGGCTCACTGCAAGCTCCACCACCTGGGTTTACACCATTCTCCTGCCTCAGCCTCCCGAGTAGGTGGGACTACAGGCGTCTGCCACCACGCCCAGCTAATTTTTTGTATTTTTAGTAGAGACAAGATTTCACCATATTAGCCAGGATGGTCTTGATCTCCTGACCTCGTGATTCACCTGCCTAGGTCCCCCAAAGTGCTAGGATTACAATAGTGAGCCACGGTGTCCGACTAATATTAACTCTTTTTAAAGATTAGGAAAACTAAAGCTCAAAAACTTGTATCCAGAAACTAAACAGGACATTTAACAGATTTGTGCGTGTGTGTGTGTGTGTGTGTGTGTATGTGTGTGTATTTCGGGGATTTTTCTGTGTTCTATACCTAATAAAGAACACAAGTATGTCTTTCTTACTGGTTCACAGGATGGTCTTCTTATTTTTGTTTCTAGCACATAGCACTGTGCTTGCAACATTGGGATTCCCAGTAAACTGAATTCAATGTAAATTATTAAATGTTTGATGAAATTTTTATTCCATTATAGCCTTTGTCTCTTCATATAAGACAATTCTGTACGTTTATATGACATTCAAACTTTTCTTTCATATTCTTTAAGTCATAATAGTATAAGATTGCGATTTTGTTCATTTTACTCTTTAGGAATCTCTTGCTCTGTTCAGAAGAATGCCAACACTTCTTTTGTATAACCTGTTACCATCAAGTCTTTAATAGTTAGAAAATGACTTGATATTCTGTAACAATAGTGTCACCTGAGAACTGTCAAAAATTGAAAGATTATACCCAGAATGAATTGATCAGTCAATTGCCATATTAAAAAATAGATTATTCTTATTAGTGAATAATGTCAGCAAAATCCAATTCAGGAAAATAAGCGCAGTATAAAAAAATAGATGTCTGAAAATGTAAAGAAGTAAGTAGCCAAAGGCCTAACTAGATTAATTGAATGTGAATACTCCCTGCAGCAATGAAATAGACAAAAGCAATAATGTCCATAACATTTAGGAGCATTGATGGAGGGATGTTGTTCTATACACAGACTTTATTTCTAGGGGAAGCAAAGATAGTCATTAATAAATCAGAACCATTTCTAAGCATCAAATTGCCACATTAAAGGCAAATTAACCTGTATGAGTCATCATTCCAGGGGCTCACTTTTGATGAAACAATGAAGTGACATCATCTCTAGAATACAGCATTATAATTTTGGAAGTCAGGGAAAATTTGGTAGATTTTTTTAAAAGGCAATAAAATGAGAAGATTTGTTGTAATTTTTAGCTTCCAAAAATTCACTTAACAGAAATTACTCACTGCCTGAGCATGCAAGATGGATGAGGCTTCATTAAAGCAAACTGAAGGAAAAAGTTAAGCTTCCTTCTGGAGGGATAAATCAATGTTACTCATCCTTATAAGCTGGACACTTAATTCTGTGAACCTGACAGATACTTATGACATAAAGTTGACCCCAGGGGGTCCAGTGCAGTGAGTGTTTGTGAGTCCAATGAGTTACAAGGCCTAGGGTTCAATTTCCTGCAGATTCTTGTGAGCAACAGGTAAACCGTCAGTTGTGATTGGTGGTTCTGGCATGCGGAAATAAAATTTCCATTTAAGTATTGCCTTTTGAAAGGCAAGTCTGTATATTAAAGAATAAAATCAACTCAGTTAAAACAGGATAATAGAATGAAAAATTTGTTTTAGTTGTCCAAAATTAAAAATGTTGCTATTCAACAATAATTGTAAAATAAATTAAAATTATGAAAATAATGCCTATGAAATTGTTTTGGAATGTAGACATGGAACAAAGCTAAGGAGAAAAAAATATTTAGCTGATGTTCTTAATATTGCCTGTCAATTATCAAAATTGCTTTATTTAAAAACATTTTATTCAGCTATCTCTATTTTACTATGTACAAGATAGTTGCCATAGATACAAAGATAGTAGGCATTCCCAGTGTTCTTTATTCCTCTGTATGTACTCACATTTCCATCTGTCAACATTTTCCTCCCATCTGAAGTCTTTCTGTGACATCTCTTGCAATGCAAGTCTGCTGGTGATGAATTCTTTTAGCTTTTGCATATCTTTAAAAAGTTTTCAATACCCCTTCATTTCTAAAAGATATTTTTGCTAGGTATAGAATTCTAAGTCAACAGTATTTTTCTCTGAGTATTTTAAAGATATTGCTCCATTGTTTTGTGGCCCACATTGTTTCTGATGAGAAGTGTGCTGTAGTTTTTAATCCTTATTCTTTTATATATAATGTGTTTTTTTCCTTTGGATGATTTTAATATTTTCTTCCTGGTTTTAAGCAATTTAGTGGTATTGTATGTTTTCTGTGTGTGTGGGTACATTGAGTTTCTTGAACATGTGGTTTTATAGTTTTTTCATCATATTTGGACTATTTGCTGCCATATTTCTTTAAATAGTTTTCAGCAACTGCCCCCTTTCTTTGGAGATGCCAGTTAACACATATATTAGGCCATTTAAAGTAGTTCCCCAGATCACTAAGCCCGGTTCATAATTTCTCAGTATATTTTCTCTTTGTGTTTCATTTTAGACAGCTTATGTTGCTTACTCTACAAGATTACTTTTCCTTCTGCAGTAGCTATATTAATCTCATCCAGCGTACTTTTTTCTTATTTCATACTTTCCATCTCTGGAAGTTTGATTTGAGTAATTTTTATATATTCTATATCTCATGTTTAGTCTTTCCTTAACTTTTTTGAGCATTTGAAATATAGTTATAATAATAAGTTTTAGTATTCTTGTCTGCTATCTGTGTAATTTTAGGGTTTGGTTTTGTCTGGTTTATCATCTGTGTAATTTCAGGGTTTGGTTTCATTGTTTTTTTTTTTTCCTTCATTAGGAGCAGTATTTTCTGTTTTCTTTGCATACCTAGTAATTCTGAATCATTGTGAGTTTTATATTGATCGACTACCAGTAACCATGAGTTTTATCTTGTTGGATGCTGGGTATTTTTGTGTTTCTGTATATTAGCCTTCTCCAACTTTTTTGGCACCAGGGACCAGCTTCATTGAAGACAATTTTTCCACAGATGTGGGTCTGGGAGTGATTTCAGTGTGACTCAAGTGCATTACATTTATTGTGTACTTTATTTCTATTATTATTACATAATCACCTTAATGTAGGATCAGTGGGAGCCCTGAGCTTGTTTCACTGCAACTAGATGATCCCATGTAGTGGTGATGGGAAACAGTGACAGATCATCAGGCATTAGATTCTCATAAGGAGCATGCAACCTAGATCCTCGCATACTCAGTTCACAATAGGGTTCATGATCCTATGATAATCTAATGCTGCCGCTGATCTGACAGGAGGTGGAGCTCAGGAAGTAATGCAAGTGATGGGGAACAACTATAAATATAGATGAAGCTTTGCTTGCTCACCAGTATTTACCTCCTGCTGTGTAGCCTGGTTCCTAACAGGCCATTAATGGGTACTGGTCTGTGGCCTGGGGTTGAAGACCCCTGCTATAGATAGTATTGTTGAGCTTCATTTTGTTATACAGTTAAATTACTTGGAAACATTTTGATCTTTCAGAGGCTTATTTTTAAGCTTTTTTTCCTTTTTATTTTTTGAGACAGAGTCTCACTCTGTCACCCAGGCTGGAGTGTGGTGGTGTGATCTCGGTTCACTGCAACTTCTGCCTCCTGGGTTGAAGTGATTCTCCTGCCTCAGCCTCCCGAGTAGCTGGGACTACAGGTGCCCAGTTCCATGCCTGGCTAATTTTTTTGTATTTTTTAGTAGACACGGGGTTTTACCATGTGCCCAGGCTGGTCTTGAACTCCTGAGCTTCAGGCAATCCACCCACCTCAGTCTCCCAAAGTGCTAGAATTACAGGTGTGAGCCACTGCGCTTGACCCTAAACCTATTTTTTAGGTGAGATCATAGCAGCATTAAATCTTGGGCTTATTTTTTCCACTATTGAGACAATACCCAATCCATAACTCTTCTCAGTGCCTATGAATTATGAAGTTTTTCCTGCTAACTGATGATAAAAACAGCTATTTCTTCCCTATGCTAACTTCAGGGATTATTCCTTGTAATGCAGTTTCTCAACTTTAGAACTATTGACATTTATGTGCTGGATAATTGTTTCTAGAGGGGAGGGGACTGTCCTGTATATGATCAGATGTTTAGGAGCATCCCTGGCCTCAGTACTGTAGGTGGTGGTGACATCCTTTAAATTGTGACAATCAAAAAATGTCTCCAGATATTGCCAGTGGCTCCAAGCGAGTATAGTTGCTCTCAGTTAAGAACCACTGCTCTAATCCTTTCTCATGGTTTTCTTATATGCATGCCATGGCTAAAGACTGCTCAGGACTCAAGTGAGACCTCCTACCATCTCCCAAATTCTGTATCTGCCCCCCTTTCCTCTTCTATAGGCTTCCCTGAGAACTTTAGTCAGTTGACCTCCCTGGATTCTCAGCTCTGTTTTCTCATCTCAAGGAGACCACTGAGTTTTGCCTATGTTTCTTTTTCCCCATCACAGCCTGGAAACTCTAGGCTGTAATGCTGGTGCAATCATAGGTTCACATTGCTTCCTGTCTCTCAAAAATCTCTGCCCCTTGTTGCTTAATGTCCGGTATATTTGAAAACTATTGTTTCATTATCCTTTATTTTTATTTATTTTTAGTCTTTAGTTTTTTCAGGTGGATCCCTGTTAACCTCATCTTGGTCCTCATCCTTATTCTTGAAAGATACTTTTGCTGGATACACAATTTTGGACTGGCTTTTGTTTTTTCTAAGCACTTTGAAAGTATTTGAACTATCTTCTGGTGTCCACTGCTGCTGTTATTCAACTGTCAATCAATTTTCTTCTTTCCTTTCTGATGATCTGTCTTTTTTGCTCTGAGCACTTTTAAGATCTTCTCTTTGCCTTTGCCATTTTGCAGTTCTGCTATGATGTAGTAAGCATAGGTTTCTTTTTATTTTTCCTTGTTCCTGCAGGATATATCAGGCTTCCTGATATATTTTTCCTGAAACTTTAGAGTCTTTCTCTCATCAGTTCTCAAAGATTTACAGCCATTATCTTCTTAGGTATTTTACCACATTGATGTTGTTTATTTTTTCCACTTTGAAAGTCTTATTCGATACAAAAAGCATGAACCACAAAGGAAAAAACATTAATTGAGGTCATTAAAATTAGGATCCTTTATTGAGCAAAAATCACCAAGAAGGAGAGTGAAAGGGTAAGCTACCAAAAGGGAGAATGTATTTGTAGTACATATAACTGACAAAAACTTGGGTCCAGTATATTATAAATAGTTCTTACAAATTAATAAGAAAAAGACAGATGCAACAGAAAAACATGCAAATATCTTGAGGAGGCATCTCACAAAGAGACACACATGCCCAATAAACACAAAATGGTTTCAGTCTCATTCATTATAAGGCAAATGATCATTTCAACCACAGAATATACCACTATACATTCAGAACGGCCAAATTTAAACGAATAATATAAAATGCCTGGGATCATGTTAGACAGCTAGAACTCACATATGTTGTTGGTGGAAGCATAATTGAAAAACATTACTAATGTTGAATGTACTTACTATATAACCCATGACCCAGATGTTCTACTCTTAAATATACTTATGTTCTACTCTTAAATATACTTAACTAACATTATATATATATATATATGTTCATCAAAAGATATGAAACATTTATTCCAGAATTATTTATATTAGCCAAGAACTAAAAACAACCCAGATGACCCTCAAAGGCAAAATGGGAAAACTAAGATATTTATATGTTGGAATACTATATAAGAAGGAAAATTAATTACTTCTACCATCAGTAACAGCATGGGTGAATTTCACTAACTTAATATTGGAATAAATGAATACACATTTTTTTAGATGGAGTTTCACTCCTGTTGCCCAGGCTGAAGTGCAATGGTGTGATCTCAGCTCACTGCAACCTTTGTCTCATGGGTTCAAGCAATTCTCCTGCCTCAGCCGCCCAAATAGCTGGGATTGCGGGCACATGCTACCATGTCAGCTAATTTTTTTTATTTTTGGTAGAGACAGGGTTTCTCCATATTGGTCAGGCTGGTCTTGAACTCCCAGCCTCAGGTGATCCACCCACCTCGGCCTCCCAAAGTGCTGGGATTACAGGCGTGAGCCACCATGCCTGGGCAATGAATGCACATTTTTATATAATTATATAATGTACATTATACAATTGCTGAGACCTTCTCTGTTGGGGAGACCCTAACCCAGCGGCACTGGAGGAATTAAAGACACACACACACAGAAATATAGACATGTGAATTGGGAAATCAGGGGTCTCACAGCCTTCAGAGTTGAGAGCCCCAAACAGAGATTTATCCACATATTTATTAGCAGCAAGCCAGTCATTAGCATTGTTTCTATAGATATTAAATTAATTAAAATTATCCCTTATTGAAAACAAAGGGATGGGCTGAATTAAAGGAATAGGTTGGGCTAGTTAACTGCAGCAGGAGCACAACCTTAAGGCACAGATGGCTCATGCTATCGTTTGTGGCTTAAGAATGCCTTTAAGAGGTTTTCCATCCTGGGCAGACCAGGTGTTCCTTGCTCTCATTCCGGTAAACCCACAACCTTCCAGCGTGGGCATTACGGCCATCATGAACATGTCACGGTGCTGCAGAGATTTTGTTTATGGCCGGTTTTGGGGCCTGTTTATGGCCAGATTTTGGGGGGCTTGTTCCTAACAGCAATTATATAATGAATTATATAATTGGAATCCTAATTATATAATTTTCAAATAGAGGCAAAGATTGACACCTTGTTGGGTATAGAGGGCATGATGACTAGGAAGGAGCATAAGTGGGGGCCACTGTAGTTTGGTTAATGCTGTATTTCTTGTTTGGGGGTTGTTTATGTGGGCATATTCATGTTTGAAATTTTTTTTATGCCTCAAAAGACTCTTTTTTTTTTCAAGGCAGAAGAATTTTTCTTAGTACAGAACAAAATGGAGGCTCCTATGTCTACTTCTTTCTACACAGACACAGTAACAATCTGATCTCTTTCTTTTCCCCACATTTCCCCCTTTTCTTTCTACTATAACTTATGATTTGTACTTTTTGTATATGTTATAGTCAATACAAAAGTTTGATTTAAAGCTGACACTAGTTGCCATTTTAGAACTTCCATTTCAGTAAACAGCAAATATTAATGATATAAACATAAAAATGCACATATGCTTATAAATTATGGACATGTATGAAGGCAAAGAACAAGGTGCTATGGGATCGAGTCACTGAGAGATCTGCTTTTATGAGATGTTTTGGCCAGACCTCTATGAGAAAGAGTTGTTCAAGTTGAGTGAGGTGGAGCGCAGTGTAAAATAAGGTTGGAGAGGCATGCAGGAATTTTAGGACATCCTGGAGAGTTTAGTCTTCATCCCAAGATTGATGGGCAACTTTAGAAGGGCTCTTAAGGGGTTAATTGAGTAATTAAGTTTTAAAAATAATTATTCTGGCTACACTGTGAATTGTGGACTTGAAAATGGACCAGAATTGAATTCCAGTGAGCCATTTAAAGACTACTGCAGTGCTCCAGGCAAAAAATGATGGCATCCATGATCTAGACCAGGGACCTGCCAGCTTTTTATGTAAGAAGTGTGTGTTCTACCTACTAAACTTTGCCATTGTAGCATGACAGCGGCCATAAACAATGCATGAATGAACAAGTATGGCTGTGTTCCAGTAAAACCTGATTTACAAAAACAGATATTGTAGTTACCAATCTCTGATCTAGAGTAAAGAAAAAATTTAGGTATATTTTGGAAGTAGATTTAATAGGATATGGACTAGGTGCAGTGGCTCTTGCCTGTAATCCCAGCACTTTGGGAGGCCGAGGTGGGTGGATCATGATGTCAGGAGTTCAAGACCAGCTTGGCCAAGATGATGAAACCCTGTATCTACTAAAAATACAAAAAATTAGCTGCTTGTGGTGGCAGGCACCTGTAATCCCAGCTACTTGGGAGGCTGAGGTAGAGAATTGCTTGAACCCAGGAGGCAGAGGTTGCAGTGAGCCCAGATTATGCCACTGCACTGCAGCCTGGGTGACAGAGTGAGACTCTTATCAGAAAAAAAAAGAAAATTAAAAAATTAGCTGGGCATTGGGGCATGCGTTTGTAATCCTGGCTACTCAGGAAGCTGGGGAAATAGGATCGCTTGAGGCTGGGAGTTTGAGGTTGCAGCGAGCTATCATCCCACCACTGAACTCCAGCATATGTAACAGAGCTAGATCTTGTGTCTAAAAAAAAGTTTTTTAAAAATAGAATATATATTGGATGTTGGGAATGTCAGTAAGAGGAGAGGAATCAAGGATGATTTCTAGGTTTTTGGTTTGAGTAATTTATGAAAAATGAGTGGTGTTGCTTATTAGGGGTCAAGTTCATTGAAAGTCCAAAACCCACTCATCTAAAATAGTGAATAGTGAATATTGACATGTCAAAGTTCTGGTGTTCTCCTCATCTTTGGTCCAGAATTACTTTTATTATTTTATACACATAGTAGTCACCAATTACACAAACAATTAAAGTGAGGGGGAAAAAAAGAATCCATCATATTGATCATTGTTGTGTTTTCTGGTAATAGGAGAAAAAATCGTAGGAAAGAAAAAAATATCGAATATTCTCATACTCTCATTGACAGTGCATCTTTAGCCCTCATGTTCTCCCTTCCTCCAAAAATAACATCCCCTGCACTCTTGCCCCAAATTGATACCCTTATAAGGATAAACCAGAGAATGTACAGGTTAGAGGAGATCATATGTTAATTCTTTACATACATCAGTGACATTGGGGACAGAGGTGGCTGCTAAGTAGAGCTGCCATCTGCTCTCTGGACAAGCACTATTTCCCATTCCATTTGTAAGAGGCACCTGTTCAAGTAACTGCCTTATTACCACTACTATGTCAAAACTGTAATGCTGTTTTGATTTTCTTTATAGTTTGATGTGTTTGAAATGATATATTTCATATATATATATTTAAATCAACCTTTGAATGTTACAGGCTTTGCTTTCTGTACGTAGTAGTGTGGCTCAGAAGAATTATGACCCTATGTTGCCTCCTATGCCTGAAGATATTGACGATGAGGAAGACTCAATACAAATAATCGGTTTGTTCAAAAATAGAGAACCACTGGTGAGTTTTGGTGCTCAGATATGAGTAGATATCATGATGAGGCTCAATCTGATGGTGCATACCATGTATAACTCTTTTTGAAATATGCCTCCTCTATGTTCTCAAATTTTAAAGAAATGGAACATTGATGTCTAAAGAACATGCTATTGAAAAATGAAAATGGACCGAGAGCAGTGGCTCACACCTGTTTATCCCAGAAGTTTGAGAGGCCAAGGTGGGCGGATCACAGGGCCAGGATTTCAAGACCAGCATGACCAACATAATAAAACCCCGTCTCTACTAAAAATACAAAATTTAGCCGAGCATGGTGGTGAATATCTGTTGTCCCAGCTACTCGGGAGGCTGAGGCAGGAGAATTGCTTGAACCCGGGAGGTGGAGGTTGTGGTGAGCCAAGATCGCGCCACTACCCTCCAGCCTGGGCAACAGAACGAACCTCCGTCTAAAAAAAAAAAAAAAAAAGAAGAAGCCAAATAAAGTAGTAGGCATTTTATTGGCTACATTTGAATAACAATGCTTTTGAAAACGTGACCTGTTGACATTTATGAAAGAAAGTGTAACATGTACCAAGCATGACTGATTTTAGATTAAATGGTACAATAAAAAAAAATTGCCTTTGTCTATAGGAACACAACTTTAAGTTATTTTATATACTTCATTCAACAGCTTTTTAAATTTAATTTACAGCAGATCCAACAAAACTTTTGAGAAGTCTCAATGAAGTAAACATTTAATTTCTTAGATAAACATCTTTTGAGGATCTTATTTGGTCAGGAGGCGTGCAAATTAAATTTGTTTAATTTGGCTGGGTGCGGTGGCTCATGCCTGTAATCCCAGCACTTTGGGAGGCCAAGGCGGGCAGATCACGTGGTCAAGAGATTGAGACAATCCTGGCCAATATGATGAAACCTTGTCTCTATTAAAAGTACAAAATATTAGCCGGGCGTGGTGGCAGACGCCTGTAGTCCCAGCTAGTTGGGAGGCTGAAGCAGGAGAATCACTTGAACCCGGGAGGTGGAGGTTGCAGGGAGCCAAGATTGCTCCACTGCCCTCCAGCCTGGTGACAGAGTGAGACTCCATCTCAAAACAAAAACACAAAAAACAACAAACCAACAAACAAACAAGCAATGAGGAGCTTCAACATCTGATTTCTTTCGTTGGCTGATAGATTTTTTTCCTTCTTTCCACTAACAATAAGGGATTAGTAACCTGTGTCATCATTATACCTCTAACTCTTCTGGCCACCAGACTTGCCTCTCTACTTACTAGATTTTTTTCCCACAAACCTACACCTGTTTAGGTGTTCTCTGCATTAATGAACAGCATTCATCCAAGCTAAAAACCTGGCTACCAACCTACATTTGTCCATCTTGCCTCACCTCCCACATCCATTAACCACTAAAGTCCTGTTGACCCAACCTCCTAAATCTTTCTTAAATCTGTCCCACTGCCATAGATAGGCTATAACCATTTGTTGCCTAAATTACTCTAATGAATACTTGTTTAGTCTCCTTGCCTCTAGTCTTGCTGCATTCAGTCGCACCTCCAGACTGCCACCCATCAGTCCTTCTAAAATCATGATCTAGTTACATTACTTTACTTTATTTCTTACCTCTACCTGATATACTGGGAATTTCATCATTTGGTCTCTACCTGCCATGTTTCTCTTCTCGCCATTCAATATGCCCCTCTGTTTCTTGCTCTTCTTTTGGCATTGAAGTCTTATGTAAGATTGCTGGTAGATCTTGAGCACTGAAGGCTAATTGTTCCATACCCCTGTCAAATTGTTCATGGTGTTTATTTTCTCTCTTGAGAAAGGGAAACCATCAGCAGAATCTCCATTTCTACATAGAGTAAGTTACAAATATAGTGGAATTTGTATAGTGGTGTTTCAGATGTCCTATTCTCTATAATACCTTTCCTGTCTTCCTGAGGTAGCATACCTAATACTTCTAATATAATATCTAAATGATTTAAGAAATTTAGCTATTTACATATGTTTCTCCAACAGACTGAAAACTTTAAGACCAGTGGTTTATTTATATTTACATCTTCAAAACCTTTTTTTTTTTTTTTTGAGCGGAGTCTTGTGCTATCTCCCAGGCTGGAGTGCAGTGGCTCGATTTCAGCTCACTGCAAGCTCCACCTCCCGGGTTCATGCCATTCTCTTGCCTCAGTCTCCTGAGTAGCTGGGACTACAGGTGCCTGCCACCATGCCTAGCTAATTTTTTGTATTTTTAGTAGAGACAGGATTTCACCAGTTAGCCAGCATTGTCTCGATCTCCTGGCCTCGTGATCTGCCCGCCTTGGCCTCCCAGAGTGCTGGGATTACAGGTGTGAGCCACCACGTCTGGCCACATCTTCAGAACTTATATAAGACCAAGTATGTGAATGCTGCTTAGTAGACATTTAGTAAATTAATGAAATTATTCCTCTAGCAGAGATAAAGGGATGTGAATATTAAGCCAATCAAACTCTAAGATAACATGTGACCTCTTTTCAGTATAGTATTCTTGCAGAGAATAATGCCACCTTCTTGATACTATTAATTGATTAACGCAGGAATAGGATCTAGTGTTAGTTTCCTAGTTATTGATTAATTCATTGTTGAGTCTTAATCCATTTCTTCACATTGACAGTAAAAATTATAGAATTTTAGTGAATTTATTTGAGTGGTCACAATATTGTTGGGAAATGTCACTGTGTCGTTAACCAGTATTGATGTGTTGTTTGTGTATTCACGGGTTTCTTTTGCGGGACAGAGGATCAGATGTTGAGAGTTTGGACAGACTCATGAAAACCAAAAACATACCTGAAGCTCACCAAAATGCATTGAAAACTGGGTTTGCAGAAGGTTTTCTGAAAGCTCAAGCACTCTCAAAAAAAAACAGTAGTAAGTTGATTTGAAACTGTCCATGTTTGAGAAGAATAACTGAAAGGAAGTCATAGTCCTACATTTAAGTTTTAAGTAACTTTTCTAAGACTATCCATCTTTCTATTGATTGAATTCCACTATATTTGTAACCTTATGTAGAAATGGAGATTCTGCTGATGGTTTCCCTTTCTCAAGAGAGAAAACAAATTGAAGAACAGGAAGTGTGAGTGGCTTAACAAAGGTTTTTGTTTCTTTGTTTGTGTGTGTGTGTGTGTGTGTGTGTGTGTGTGTGTGTGTGTGTGTGTTTTGAGACACAGTTGTGCTTCATTGCCCAAGCCAGGAGTGCAGTGGTGTAATCACGGCTCCTAGCAGTCTTAACTTTCTGGGCTCAAGTGATTCTCTCACCTCAGCCTCCTGAGTAGCTAGGACCACAGGTATGTGCCACTACGTCCAGCTAATTTTTGTAGAGATGTAATCATTCCATGTTGTCCAGGCTGGTCTTGAACTCCAGGACTCAAGTGATCCTCCTGCATTGACCTCTTAAAGTGCTGGGATGATAGGCATGAGCCACCATGCTCAGCCTTAATGAAGTTTTTGATAATAGGATACTTACAGGAAATCATAGCAGTTATGAAAAAGAATGCCAGACTCCAAAATTGCATGTGATGAAATATGATTATCAATAACCTAATATTTGCATTTCATTGAGCTGTCATATTTCATTAATGTTATTTGATGTAAGGCTTTTTCTTTCTCTCCTAGATTCCCTAAGACGAACCTGTCTGATTCTCTTCTTTCTGCTGCTATTCGGCATTTACGGACTTTTAAAAAACCCATTTTATCTGGTAAAAGTTTTTTTATTAATCTAACTTGTTAGTTTCTTATTCCTTTAAATACATGATTCTATTTAATGCTTAATCTAAACCTTAAAGAAAGAACATATTAATGTTTATAGTTCCAGAAGCTAGGCTTTCACTCCTAGTAGTGGTTAGTTTCTCAGATTTTTAGAAAATGATACCTGTCTAGTTATAAAATTTAAAAATTATCCTGATCAACAGGGTGAAAGGAAAATTAATTAATTAGTTAATTAATTTAAAAATTATGTGGAAGAATTTTAGAATAGCAATACAAGCTGAAATAGCCTTCTATTTCAAAGATAAACTAATAAATTCAATTTATTCAGAAAATTACATTAAATGTTTCTCTTTTTTATAGTTTGCTTATCTGAAATGAAGTAATAGTGTAAGACTTAAGTGTTTCCAATTACTTTTTCAACCACCATGCAGTTTTCACGCTGTGTTCTCTATTCTCTTTATTATTAAGGATATGTACAGATTTAAAAAAATACTTTAGTGGGCTAAAACTATTAGTGTTCATTCTAGAATTACTATTTTAAATTTGCTCTCCCAACTTCTGTGTTCTTGATTTATTAAGGATTTCTTCTTAACCCTGTATTTTGCCAACTCATTTTTCAGCCTATCTTAAAAGTATTTTTGGGCTTCTTTTGAGGAAAATAGAAATTGCTCAATTTACTCATTTATAACTGCTCTAGTTTGGAAGTTTCTGAGTGGGAAAGATTTAAGAAATCCTTGTAATAGTTCTCCAAAATTGATCTCAAATATTTTACTGTTCTGTCAGACTTTTTCTGTCTTGGTTGTACTTAATGATGTCATAACCGATAGGTCATTTGAGGGCAAGTAATAACAGTTGTCAGAAGAAGAAGACTACATGGAAAGTGTAGACTTTCCATGGGTTAAATCTCAATTTTTTATTAGTGTGTGTCAGTATTTTCTGCTAACTTTAAGGCAATATATTTCAAAGTGTAGATCTGTGACCAGTTATATCAGAATAATCTAAGTTTTTGTTAAAAATGCAAATTCTCCTGGGCCCTTTCTCAAATTTACAAACATAGTTCTGTGTTATGGCCTGAGAACCAGCATTTTAACATATTTCTCAAGTGAGTTTTATTCACACCAAAGATTGAGAAATGCTGAATTAAGATTTCTATCATTAGATACTACAATAAGAAGTGGAAAATAATTTTTGATTTTACTAACTGGAAAGTACAAATATGTCTTAGTATTTTTTAATTTTTATTTTTTCAAGTTTATTAAGAAGGTAAAGGAATAAAAGAACGGAATGGCTACTCCATAGGCAGAGCAGCTGAAATATGTCTTTTTAATGTGAATCACTTACTCTTTGAAAATGGTTTAGAAACCCAGAAGACCTAGTTTATATTCCTCATTCTGATTTGATATGTGAAGTTAGTTCCCTTAGACATTTAATTTTTCTAGGCTTTGCTTTCTTGCATCTAAAAAGTAAAGTGATTGGAATGTTATTAATCTATCAAATATAAGCATTTCTTTTCTTCCCTTTAGTCTGCTTCCAGACAACAATGGGGCTTGATTCTGCAATAGATCCTGTCCAGATAAAAGATGTTACCTTTGAACGTGTTAAAGTCATAAGTTGAGAAGATTGCCTTGCCTTCTTCATACATTCTCTAATTGATACTCTGTATAAAGTCCATATTTGATTCTGCAATGTATTCTGGAATAGGTAAAATTGCATCCCAAAGTATTAGAAACATTTGTATTTTGGGATAAATAATAATAGCCAAGTATCAAATCTTGCTTTATGACAGGGATTAGTATAATTTATGAAGGAGCAGCCTGGTATAGTGGAGTGAATGTAGACTTCAGAGTCAAGTTGACTAACTTTTGAAATTCATTTTAATACTTATTAGCTATGTAACCTTGAAGAAATTACTTTAGATTCTGACAAATAATGTGTGTGCTTGGCACATAGTAGACAGTTAATAAATGGTCCTTCTTTACCTGTTCCTCTTATTGATCTTTCTAACTCCAGTAGCCTCCCGAAGTGCTGGGATTACAGAGGTGAGCCATTGCGCCCAGCTGACAATGTATATTTCTTGAATGAATGAATAGAATGGATAGATGCTAGTTTATAGTCAATTAATTTGTTAAATATTTAATGGTATCTTTTTATTTTATTTATTTATTTATTTATTTATTTATTTATTTATTTATTTATTTATTCTTGTGATGGAGTCTCACACTGTCACCCAGGCTGGAGTGCAGTGGAGCAATCTTGGCTCACTGCAACCTCCACCTCCCGGGTTCACAGCATTCTCCTGCCTCAGCCTCCCAAGTACTGGGACTACAGGCACCCACCACCATGCCTGGCTAATTTTTTGTATTTTTAGTAGAGACAGGGTTTCATCATGTTAGCCAGGTTGGTCTCAGTCTCCTGACCTCATGATCCACCCACCTCGGCCTCCCAAAGTGTTGGGATTATAAGCGTGAGCCACCACACTAGGACTAAATATTTAATAGTATCTGTTAAGAGCTAGACTCTATTTTAGCTGCTGGAATAGAATAATCTCTGTCTTCATAGAGTTTAAATTCTAAAAGCAGGAACTGGACATTGATATGTCATATTAGAATTTAGTAGAATATGTTAAAAGGTAATAAAAATGTATGGAGGAAAGAATAGAGCAAGGTAAAGAGGTTTAGAAGCTCTGGGAGAAGGATTATAGTTTTAAATGGAATGTTCAAGGTGTGATTGAAGGAGAAGGTGACATTTGAGAGAAAATCTGAAGGAGAAGAAGGAATAAACTGCATTTATCTTAGAAAAGAACATTTCTGGCAAAAGGAACAGATTGAGCAAAGGCTCTGAGGTAGTAGGGTGTCTGTTTAGTTCATTTTTGAAAGTAGGACCAATAGGATTTCTTTTTATTTATTTATTTTTTGAGACAGAGTCTCCCTGTCACCCAGGCTGGAGTGCAGTGGCACAATCTCAGCTCACTGCAACTTCTTCCTCCCAGGTTCAAGTGATTATCCTGCCTCAGCCCCCTGAGTATCGGGGATTACAGACACCTGCCACCATGCCTGGCTAATTTTTGTATTTTTAGTAGAAATGGGGTTTCACCATGTTGGCCAAGCTGGTCTCGAACTCCTGACCTCGTGATCTGCCCATCTCGGCCTCCCAAAGTTCTGGGATTACAGCCATGAGCACCACACCCAACCTTTACTGAGGTATTAAAAGGCTGTGAGTGGAACAGATTTGGGGGATGAAGGTTAGAAATTTAGTTTTAGGTATGTTAAGTGTGAGAGATACAAATGAAAGTGTTGCATGACTTGGATATACCACTTTGGAGATATGGGAGAGATCTGAGCTAGAACTAAAAATATGAGATTGGAGGGCAGTTCCAAGATGGCCAAATAGGAACAGCTCCAGTCTACAGCTCCCAGGGTGAGTGACACAGAAGATGGGTGATTTCTGCATTTCCAACTGAGTTACGGCATTCATCTCACTGAGGCTCATCAGACAGTGGGAGCAGGATAGTGGGTGCAGCCCACCAAGCGTGAGCCAAAGCACGGCAAGGCAACTCCTCACCCAGGAAGTGCAAGGGGTCAGGGAATTCCCCTTCCTAGCCAAGGGAAGGGGTGACAGATGGCACCTGGAAAATCGGGTCACTCCCACCCTAATACTGTGCTTTTCCAATGGTCTTAGCAAAAGGCACACCAGGAGATTATATCCTGCACATGGCTTGGAGGGTCCCATACCCACAGAGCCTCGCTCACTGCTAGCGCAGCAGTCTGAGATCAAACTGCAAGGTGGCAGCAAGGCTGGGGGAGGGGCGCCCACCATTGCCGAGGCTTGAGTATGTAAACAAAGCATCCAGGAAGCTCGAACTGGGTGAAGCCCACTGCAGCTCAAGAAGACCTGCCTGCCTCTGTAGATTCCACCTCTGGGGTAGGGCATAGCTGAACAAAAGGCAGCAGAAACCTCTGCAGACTTAAATGTCCCTGTCTGACAGCTTTGAAGAGAGTAGTGGTTCTCCCAGCATGGAGTTTGAGATCTGCCTCCTCAAGTGGGCCCCTGACCCCCGAGTACCCTAACTAGGAGGCACTCCCCAGTAAGGGCAGACTGACACCTCACAAGGCCGGGTACCCCTCTGAGACAAAACTTCCAGATGAATGATTAGGCAGCAACAATTGCTGTTCAGCAATACTCGCTGTTCTGCTGCCTCTGCTGCTGATACCCAGGGAAACAGCGTCTGGAATGGACCTCCAGCAAACTCCAACAGACCTGCAGCTGAGGATCCTGACTATTAGAAGGAAAACTAAAAAACAGAAAGGACATCCACACCGAAACCCCATCTGTCGGTCACCATCATCAAAGACCAAAGGTAGATAAAACCACAAAGATGGGGAAAAAACAGAGCAGAAAAGCTGAAAATTCTAAAAATCAGAGGACCTCTCCCATCCAAAGCAATGCAGCCCCTCACCAGCAATGGAACAAAGCTGGATGGACTTTGACGAGTTGAGAGAAGAAGGCTTCAGATAATCAATCTTCTCCAAGCTAAAGGAGAAAGTTTGAACCCAATGCAAAGAAGCTAAAAACCTTGAAAAAAGATTAGACAAATGGCTAACTAGAATGACCAGTGTAGAGAAGCCCTTAAATGACCTCATGGAGATGAAAACCATGGCATGAGAACTACATGATGAATGCACAAGCTTCAGTAGCTGATTCGATCAACTGGAAGAAAGTTTATAAGTGATGGAAGATCAAATGAATGAAATGAAGAGAGAAGAGAAGTTTAGAGAAAAAAGAATAAAAAGAAATGAACAAAGCCTCCAAGAAATATGGGACTATGTGAAAAGACCAAATCTACATTTCATTGGTGTACCCAAAAGTGACGGGGAGAATGGAACCAAGTTGCAAAACACTCTGCAGGATATTATCCAGGAGAACTTCTCCAACCTAGCAAAGCAGGCCAACATTCAAATTCAGGAAATATAGAGAAAGCCACAAAGATACTCCTCAAGAAAAGCAACTCCAAGACACATAATTGTCAGATTCACCAAAGCTGAAATGAAGGAAAAAATATTAAGGGCAGCCAGAGAGAAACGTTGGGTTACCCACAAAAGGAATCCCATCAGACTAACAGCTGATCTCTCAGCAGAAACTCTACAAGCCAGAAGAGAGTGGGGGCCAATATTCAACATTTCTAAAGAAAAGAATTTTCAACCCAGAATTTCATATTCAGCCAAACTAAGCTTCATAAGTGAAGGAGAAATAAAATCCTTTACAGACAAGCAAATGCTGAGAGATTTTGCCACAACCAGGCCTGCCCTACAAGAGCTCCTGAAGGAAGCACTAAACATGGAAAGGAAAAACCGGTAACAGCCACTGCAAAAACATGCCAAATTGTAAAGACCATCGAGGCTAGGAAGAAACTGCATCAACTCATGAGCAAAATAACCAGCTAACATCATAATGACAGGATCAAATTCACACATAACAATATTAACCTTAAATGTAAATGGGCTAAATGCTGCAATTAAAAGACAGAGACTGCAAATTGGATAAAGAGTCAAGACCCATCAGCGTGCTATATTCAGGAGACACATCTCACGAGCAGAGACACACATAAGCTCAAAATAAAGGGATGGAGGAAGATCTACCAAGCAAATGGAAAACAAAAAAAGGCAGGGGTTGCAATCCTAGTCTCTGATAAAACAGACTTTAAACCAACAAAGATCAAAAGGGACAAAGAAGGCCATTATATAATAGTAAAGGGATCAATTCAACAAGAAGAGCTAACTATCCTAAATATATATGCACCCAATAGAGGAGCACCCAGATTCAAAAAGCAAGTCCTTAGTGACCTACAAAGAGACTTAGACTCCCACACAATAATAATGGGAGACTTTAACACCCCACTGTCAACATTAGACAGATCAACGAGACAGAAAGTTAACAAGGATATCCAGGAATTGAACTCAGCTCTGCACCAAGCAGACCTAATAGACATCTACAGAACCCTCCACCCCAAATCAACAGAATATACATTCTTCTCAGCACCACACCACACTTATTCCAAAATTGACCACATAGTCGGAAGTAAAGCACTTCTCAGCAAATGTAAAAGAACAGAAATTATAACAAACTGTCTCTCAGACCACAGTGCAATCAAACTAGAACTCAGGATTAAGAAACTCACTCAAAACTGCTCAACTACATGGAAACTGAACAACCTGCTCCTCAATGACTACTGGGTACATAACGAAATGAAGGCAGAGATAAAGATGTTCTTTGAAACCAATGAGAACAAAGACACAACATACCAGAATCTCTGGGACACATTTAAAGCAGTATGTGGAGGGAAATTTATATCACTAAGTGCCCACAAGAGAAAGCAGGAAAGATCTAAAATTGACACCCTAACATCACAATTAAAAGAACTAGAGAAGCAAGAGCAATGACATTCAAAAGCTAGCAGAAGGCAAGAAAGAACTAAGATCAGAGCAGAATTGAAGGAGATAGAGACACGAAAAACTCTTCAAAAAATCAATGAATCCAGGAGTTGGTTTTTTGAAAGGATCAACAAAATTGATAGACCGCTAGCAAGACTAATAAAGAAGAAAAGAGAGAAGAATCAAATAGATGCAATAAAAAATGATAAAGGGGATATCACCATGGATCCCACAGAAATACAAACTACCATCAGAGAATACTATAAACATCTCTATGCAAATAAACTAGAAAATCTAGAAGAAATGGATGAATTCTTCGACACATACACCCTCCCAAGACTAAACCAGGAAGAAGTTTAATCCCTGAATAGACCAATAACAGGATCTGAAATTGAGGCAATAATTAATAGCCTACCAACCAAAAAAAGTCCAGGACCAGAAGGATTCACTGCCAAATTCCACCAGAGGTACAAGGAGGAGCTGGTACCATTCCCTCTGAAACTATTCCAATAAATAGATAAAAAGGGAATCCGTCTTAACTCATTTTATGAGGCCAGCATCATCCTGATACCAAAGCCTGGAAGAGACACAACAAAAAAAGAGAATTTTAGACGAATATCCCTGATGAACACTGATGCAAAAATCCTCAATAAAATACTGGCAAACAGAATCCAGCAGCACATCAAAAGGCTTATCCATCATGATCAAGTGGGCTTCATCCCTGGGATGCAAGGTTGGTTCAACATACGCAAATCCATAAATGTAATTCAGCATATAAACAGAACCAATGACAAAAACCACATGATTATCTCAACAAATGCAGAAAAGGCCTTCGACAAAATCCAACAGCACTTCATGCTGAAAACTCTCAATAAATTAGGTATTGATGGGACATATCTCAAAATAATAAAAGCTATTTATGACAAACCCACAGCCAATATCATACTGAATGGGCAAAAACTGGAAGCATTCCCTTTGAAAACTGGTACAAGACAGGCATGCCCTCTCTCACCACTCCTATTCAACGTGGTGTTGGGAGTTCTGGCCAGGGCAGTCAGGCAGGAGAAAGAAATAAAGGGTATTCAATTAGGAAAACAGGAAGTCAAATTGTTCCTGTTTGAAGATGACATGATTGTATGTCTAGAAAACCCCATCATCTCAGCCCAAATCTCCTTAAGCTGATAAGCAACTTCAGCAAAGTCTCAGGATACAAAATCAATGTGCAAAAATTACAAGCATTCTTATACACAAATAATAGACAAATAGAGATCTAAAACATGAGTGAACTCCCATTCACAATTACTTCAAAGAGAATAAAATACCTAGGAATCCAAATTACAAGGGATGTGAAGGACCTCTTCAAGGAGAACTACAAACCACTGCTCAATGAAATAAAGAGGATACAAACAAATGGAAGAACATTCCATGGTCATGGATAGGAAGAATCAATATCGTGAAAATGGCCATACTGCCCAAGGTAATTGATAGATTCAGTGCCAACCCCATCAAGGTACCAATGAATTTCTTCACAGAATTGGAAAAAACTACTTTAAAGTTCATATGGAACCGAAAAAGAGCCCACATTGTCAAGATAATCCTAAGCCAAAAGAACAAAGCTGGAGGCATCACGCTACCTGACTTCAAACTATACTACAAGGCTACAGTAACCAAAACAGCATGGTACTGATACCAAAACAGAGATAAAGACCAATGAAACAGAACAGAGCCCTCAGAAATAACAACACACATTTACAACCATCTGATCTTTGACAAACCTGACAAAAACAAGAAATGGGGAAAGGATTCCCTATTTAATAAATGGTGCTGGGAAAACAGGCTAGCCATATGTAGAAAGCTGAAACTGGATCCCTCCCTTACACCTTATGCAAAAATTAATTCAAGATAGATTAAAGACTTAAATGATAGACCTAAAGCCATAAAAACTATGGAAGAAAACTTAGGCAATACCATTCAGGACATAGGCATGGGCAAGGACTTCATGTCTAAAACACCAAAAGCAGTGGCAACAAAAGCCAAAATTGACAATGGGAAATAATTAATAAAGAGCTTCTGCACAGCAAAAGAAACTACCATCAGAGTGAACAGGCAACCTACAGAATGGGAGAAAATTTTTGCAATCTACTCATCTGACGAAGGGCTAATATCCAGAATCTACAATGAACTCAAACAAATTTACAAGAAAAAAACAAACAACCCCATCGAAAAGTGGGCAAAGTATATGAACAGACACTTCTCAAAGGAAGACATTTATGCAGCCAAGAGACACATGAAAAAATGCTCTTATTAATATAAGATCCACAATTCCCTCACTGCCATGAAGTCCTAAGACAGCAATCATAATAATCAACATTCACTTAGTCAATACAAACGTAGTAAGGAACCTAGGGTTAAGGTTGGTGTTAGGGTTAGGGGTTAGGGGTTAAGTTTAGGGTTAGGGGTTGGAGATAGGGGTTGGGGTCAGAGTTAGGGGTTAGGAGTCAACATTTACAGTTGGGGTTGAGAGGTTAGGGGTTAGGGATTAGGGGTTGGGCTTGGGTTAGGGTGAGGATGAGGGTTGGGGTTAGGTTTTAGGGTTAGGGTTAGGGTTAGGGGTTAGGGTTAAGGGTTAGGGTTAGGGGTTAGGGGTTATGGTCAGGGGTTAGGGGTCAGGGTCAGGGGTTATGGGTCAGGGTCAGGGTCAGGGTCAGGGTCAGGGGTCAGAGTCAGGGTTAGCAGTCCCAATCTGTGGGTTGTCTATTTACTCTGCTGACTGTTCCCTTTGCCATGCAAAAGCTTTTTAGTTTAATTAAGCCCCAGCTATTTATCTTTGTTTTTATTGCATTTGCATTTGGTTTCTTGGTCATGAAATCCTTGCCTATGCCAATGTCTAGAAGGGTTTATCCAGTGTTATCTTCTAGAATTCTTATAGTTCAGGAATTAGGTTTAAGTTCTTAATCCATCTTGAGTAGATTTTTGTATAAGGTGAGAGATGAGAATCCAGTTTTATTCCCCTACATGTGGCTCGCCAATTATCCCAACATCATGTGTAGGAAAGGGTGTCCTTTCCCCACTTATTTTTTTTTTTACTTTGTCGAAGATCAGTTGGCTGTAAGTATTTGGGTGAATTTCTGGGTTCTCTCTTCTGTTCTATTGGTTTATGTGCCTATTTTTAAACCAGTACCATGCTGTTTTGGTAGCTATGGCCTTATTGTACAGTTTGAAATCAAGTAGTGTGATGCCTCCAGGTTTGTTCTTTTTGCTTAGCCTTGGTTTGGCTACATGGCTCTCTTTTTGTTCTGTATTAATTTTAGAATTGTTTTGTAATTCTGTGAAGAATGATGGTGGTATTCAGATGGGGATTGCATTGAATTTGTAGGTTGCTTTTAACAGAATGGTAATTTTCACAATATTGGTTCTACCCATCTATGAGCATGGGGATGCATTTCCATTTGTTTGTGTCATCTATGATTTCTTTTCTTTCTTTTTTTTTCCAGAGGGAGTTTCACTCTTGTCGCTGAGGTGGGAGTGCAATGGTGTGATCTCGGCTCACTACAACTTCTGCCTCCTGGGTTCAAGCGATTCTCCTGCCTCAGCTTCCTGAGTAGCTGGGATTATAGGCATGCACCACCATGCTTGGCTCCATCTATGATTTCTTTCAGCAGTGTTTTGTCATTTTCATTGTAGAGGTCTTTTGATTCCTTTGCTAGGTATATTCCTAAGTTTTGTTTTTTGTTGTTTTTGTTTTTTGCAGCTATTGTAAAAGGGGTTGAGTTCTTGATGTGATTCTCTGCTTGGTAGCTGTTGATGTATAGAAGAGCTACTGATTTGTGTCCATTAATCTTGTATCTGGAAACTTTGCTGAATTCTTTTATCAGTTCTAGGAGCTTTCTAGAGGAGTCCGTAGGGTTTTCAAGGTGAAAGATCATATCGTCAGCAACCAGTGACAGTTTGATTTCCTCTTTACCAATTTGGATTTCCTCTATTTCTTTCTTTTGTCTGATTGCTCTGGCCAGGACTTCCAGTACTATGTTGAAGAGGAGTGGTGAGAGTAGGCTCCTTGTCTTGTTCCAGTTCTCAAAGGGAATGCTTTCACCTTCTCCCCATTCAGTGTTATGTTGGCTGTGGGCTTGTCATAGGTGCGTTTTATTACATTAAGCTATGTCCCTTTTATGCCTATTTTGCTGAGAGCTTTAATCATAAAGCAATGCTAGATTTTGTCAAATGCTTTTTCTGCATCTGTTGATACAATCATGTGAGTTTTTTTTAAATTCTGTTTATTTGGTGTATCACATTTATTGACTTGCATATGTTAAACCATTAATGTATCGCTGGTATGAAACCCACTTGATAATCGTGGATTATCTTTTTGATATGTTTTGGATTCAGTTAGATAGTATTTTGTTAATTATTTTGGCATCTGCATTCATCAAGGATATTGGTCTGTAGTTTTCTTTTTTGGTTATGTCCTTTCTTTGTTTTGGTATTAGGGTGATGCTGGCTTCATAGAATGAATCAGGGAGGGTTTCTTCTTTCTCTGTCTTGTGGAATAGTGTGAAAGGATTGGTATCATTTCTTCTTTGAATGAAAGAAGACATTCTTTGAATGTCTGATAGAATTCTGCTGTGAATATGTCTGGTCCTCGGCTTTTTTTGTTGGTAATTTTATAATTACCATTTCAATCTTGCTGCTTGCTTTATTGATCTGCTTGGGGTATCTAATTCTTCCTGATTTAAGCTAGGAGGGTTGTATTTTTCCAGGAATTTATCCAACTCTTCTAGGTTTTCTAGTTTATGTGCCAAAAGGTGTTCATAGTACCCTTGAATAATCTTTAATATTTCAGTGGTGTCAGTTGTAATATCCCGTTTCATTTCTTAGTGAGGTTATTTGGGTTTTCTCTCTTCTTTTCTTGGTTAATCTTGCTAATGGTCTATCAATTTTATTTATCTTTTCAAATAACCAACTTTTTGTTTTATTTATGTTTTGTATTTGTTGTTTTTGCTGTTGTTGTGTCAATTTCATTTAGTTCTGCTATGACCTTGATTATTTCCTTTGTTTGCTGGGATTGGGTTTGGCTCGTTCCTGCTTCTCTGGTTCCCTGAGATGTGAACTTAGATTGTCTCTTTGTGCTCTTTCAGACTTTTTCAAGTAGGTGTTTAGGGCTACAAACTTTCCTCTTAGCACTGCCTTTGCTGTATCCCAGAGGTCTTGATAGGTTGTGTCATCCAGTTCAAAGAAATTTTTTACATTTCCATCTTGATTTCGTTTTTCACCCAATGCTCATTCAGGAGCAGGTTATTTAATTTCCATGTATTTGCATGGTTTTGAAGATTCCTTTTGGAGTTGATTTTCAGTTTTATTCCACTGTGATCTGAGAGAGTGCGTGATACAATTCCAATTTTCTTAAATTTACTGAGACTCGTTTTATGGCCTATCATATGGTCTATCTTGGAGAAAATTCCATGTGCTGTTGAATAGAATGTGTATTCTGTGGTTGCTGGATGAAATGTTCTGTATATATCTGTTAAGTCCATTTGTTCCAAAGTATAGTTTAAATCCAGTGTTTCTTTGTTGACTTTGTCTTGATGACCTGTCTAGTGCTGTCAGTGGAGTATTGAAGTCCCCCATTATTATTGTGTTGCTGTCTATCTCATTTCTTATGTCTACTAGTAATTGTTTTATAAATTTGGGAGCTCCAGTGTTAGGTTCATGTATGTTTAGGATTGTCATATTTTTCTGTTGGATGAGACCTTTACCATTATATACTGTCTGTCTTTGTCTCTTTTAGCTGCTGTTACTTTAAAGTTTGTTTTGTCTCATATGAGAATAGCTACCGCTGCTCGCTTTTGGTGTCCATTTGCATGAAATGCCTTTTTCTACCACTTTCCTTAAGTTTATGTAAGTCGTTATGTGTTAGATGAGTCTCCTGAAGGCAGCAGATAGTTAGTTGGTGTGTTCTTATCCATTCTGTGGTTCTGTATCTTGTAAGTGGAGCATTTAAGCCATTTACAACCAACATTAGTATTAAAAAGTGAGATAACATTGCTTTCATCTTGCTCTTTGCTGCCTCTGTACTTTGTTTTTGTTTTTTGTTTTTGCTGTTTAACTTGTATTTTTGTTTTATAGGTCTTGTGTGATTTATGCTTTAATGAAGTTCTGTTTTGATGTGTTTCCAGGATTTGTTTCATGATTTAGAGCTCCTTTTAGCAGTTCTTACAGTGTTGGTTTGGTAATGGCAAATTCTGTCAGCATTTGTTTGTCTGAAAATGGCTGTATCTTTCCTTCATATATGATGTTTAGTTTTGCTGGATACAAAATTATTTGCTGATAATTGTTTTGTTTGAGGAGGCTGAAGAAAGCGCCCCAATCCCATCTAGCTTGTAAGGTTTCTGCTGCAAAATCTGCTGTTACTTTGATAGGTTTTCCTTTATAGGTTACCTAGTGCTTCTGTCTCACAGCTCTTAAGATTCTTTCCTTTGTCTTAACTTTGGATAACCTAATGACAGTGTGCCTAGGCTAAGATCTTTTTGTGATGAATTTCCCAGGTGTTATTTGTGCTTCTTGTATTTGGATGTCTAGGTCTCTCACAAGGCCATGGAAGTTTTCCTTGATTATTCCCCCAAATATGTTTTCCTGGCTTTTAGAATTCACTTCTTCCTCAGGTACACTAATTAGTCTTAGGTTTCATCGTTTAACAGAATGCCAGACTCCTTGGAGGCTTTGCTCATACTTTCTTATTCTTTTTTCTTTGTCTTTATTGGATTGGGTTAAATCAAAGACCTTGTCTTCGAATTCTGAATTTCTTTCTTCTACTTGTTCAATTCTATTGCTGAGACTTTCCAGGGCAGTTCACATTTCTAAAAGTGCACACAAAGTTTCCTGATTTTTTATTTTTTTATTTTCATTTTTTTTAATTTAAGCTATTTCCTTGAATGTTTCTCCCTTCATTTGCTGTATCATTTTTTGGATTTTCTTGCATTGGACTTCACCTTTCTCTGGCCCCTCCCTGATTAGCTTAATAACTAACCTGAATTCTTTTTCAGATAAATCAGTGATTTCTTCTTTGTTTGGATCCATTGGTGATGAACTGGTGTGATTTTTGGGGGGGGTGTTGAAAAGTCTTGTTTTGTCAGATTACCAGGGCTGGTTTTCTGGTTCCTTCTCATTTTGGTAGACTCTGTCAGAGGAAAGGTCTAGGGCTAAAGACTGTTGTTCAGACTCTTTTGTCCCACAGGGTTTTCCCTTGATGTAGTACTCTCCCCCTTTTCCTATGGGCATGGCTTCTGTGAGCTGAAGTGCATTGATTGTTGTCTCTCTTCTGGGTCTAGACACCCAGCAGGTCTACCTGGCTTTGGGCTGGTACTAGGGTTTGTCTGCATAGAGCCCTGTGATGTGAACCATCTATGGGTCTCTCAGCTGTGGATACCAGCACCTGTTCCAGCAGAGGTGGTGAAGGGGGCAATAGACTCTGTGAGGGTCCTTAGTTTTAGTGGTGTAATGCTCTATATTTGTGCTGGTTGGCCTCCTGCCAGGAGGTGGTGCTTTCCAGAAAGCATCAGCTGTAGTAGTGTGGAGGGACTGGCAGTGGGCAGGGCCCTAGGACTCCCAAGATTATATGTCCTTTGTCTTCCACTACCAACTTAAACATTTGTGACAATTTCAATATCAGAAATTTATGTGTAATCGAATTTATTCTGGTAGCTTTTTTTCTTATATGCTTCAATCTTTATAATTTAGTTCTCACATGAGAGAGATCTAATATTGGAAATATTTTCAATCTGTATGTTTATGTATTTATTCTAGTTGTCCTGGCGAAAGGTTATCAATGTTGCTGTGTCACCAGCCATTGGCTTTTCACATTTACAACTCCTCTGAATTTATTCTTACCTCATTTCTGGTGCTGGGAAATTCTGATTTTTTCTCCTCATCTCCATTGTACATTTTAGGGATTCTTGAAACTTTTGATGCACAAACGTCCATACTTTCCACATAAGTAAAATATTTTACTTAGATATTTTCTAGCAGACACTGAGTTCTCATGAGAAATCCTCAGTCTCTTTATTTGGAACACCCCCTGCCCAATATTCCATATGGAGTAGTTGTGTGTAGAATGTGATTACTTCATGAATAAGTCAAAGTATGGATACATTTTGAAAACATTTCTGAAGTTGTAATCCCTTTCTTGATGAATAGTACCTGTTCAAGAGCAGAATTGATGTTTTCTCTGGAGCAGTAAGTTAGCACTGGTAGAATCTGTTCTGTAATCCCAGGTCCTTGGGCTCCAGTGTCAATGCTTCCTCCTTAGATCCTCCCTGACCCTGTAAATTTACCTCAGTCTCTATTTCTTAATCCAATAGCTATTTAAATTGATCTTCAATTACTTTGTATGTGGCCAGATATTATTTGTGGGTTATATTCTAATTCCCATTTTTCTGATGTAATTTCAGAGAGCCTAGAAAATATCACCTTGTGAATATCTACTTCCATGAAGTCAGTGACACATTTTTAGGTCTTAAACCTCAATATTTAAAATATTTGTCTCTGGAATTTGAAAATAAGATGTATGCTTTGTTTACTGGATAAAAAGGTTAATCACTTGTTCATCTGATTAGTAATCAAAGTTTCTAAAATTTATTTAATACTTGATGTTACTTTATGTTTTATATAAATGTGTATTTCTATGACAGTTTTAGTGTCACCTAATATTATTTTCAATGTTGTAATTTTTATGTATATGAATCTTTGTGCTATACATTTTAGTGTCATTGGTATGAAAGCTATATGTGCAAATAGCTTGAAATAGCACCTAACACATCATGGATTCTATGTAAATATTCACCACTCTATTTCATCGCATTTTAACCAATTAATACCATTCTTCATTTGCTAACATTTTGTTTGTCCTCATTCAAATGTGTGTTGGTGTCCTGTCTACATATTAATAAAAGAGAGGAGGTAGGCCCAGACTTCCATCTTGATTAAATGCTAAGACAAATGGCACATTTTCCTAGTTCTATTTATATGCAACATTACATTTGTCTCACACTATAAATATGAGTATTCAGTTAAGTACAGCAAAAAAAAAAAAAAAATCTTAACCTTCCTACAACAGATGTTGGGATATTCACGGATTGTCCACAACTTCCTTCTCCCAACATTACTTTTATTCTTACATCTCAACTGCCACAAAAACCTAGAAGCATGAAATACTACAAATTAGAAACAAATTCCCTGCTATACACAAATTGTAAAAGTAAACCAAGAAGAAAGAGAATATATGCGTACTTATACAGCAAGTAAATAGATTAGACTAATGAGAACTCTTCTTCAGTCTAGCCCAGGCTCACATAGCTTCACTAGTGAATTCTATTAAACACTTAATGAATAACCAATCCTTCACAAACACTTGCAAAGCAGAGAAGCAGGAAAACATCAATTCATTTTTGAGGCCAGTATTACCCAGATAACAAATCAGACAAAAGCATCACAAGAAAATAAATAAATAAAAATAAAATAAATCCCTCATGAATGAAGGCAGAAATCTCCAAAAACTCTAGCAAACTAGAGGAAGCAACACATAAAAATGTTAGACAAGCCTGGCATGGCAGTGCACACCTGTAGTCCCAGCTACTTAGGAGGCTGAGGTGGCAGGAACACTTAAGCCCAGGAGTTTGAGGTTATAGTTAGCTGTGACTGTGCCACTCCACCCCAACCTGGGGGACAGAGTGAGGCCTCACCTCTAATAAAAATTAAAGAAAATTAGAAAAAAGTTAGACAATATAACCAAGTGGAATTATCTTACAAATACAAATTTAAAAATCAATCAGTGTAATACACCATATTAATAGAATAAAGGAAAAGACCACGAGGATTTCAATGGATGTCTGACAATGTCTGACACTCATTCCTGATGAATCTTCCAGAAATCTAGCAATAGAAATAACTTCCTGAACCTCCTAAAGGACATCCATGAAAATTTAATAAATTCCACTAGGGTATATTGAAAGGCATATTGATACTTCCAACTTTATGGTTTTAAAAATTAACAATGAAATAAGAACTAATAACAGTAATCTATCCATCTGGGAAACATTAAACACCTTTCTAACAATATTACTTTTGATGTGATAAAGGTAAAAATCCAAATTTAATAAGAGCAGTGCTTTTGAGAAGACTAAAATTTGGTGTTCCTAATTTTTCTGACTTATTAGCAATTAGAATCTAATTATCAATAATGCCAAGAAGACAGGAGTACTCTCCAATGACATTAAAATGTATAACACAAAGATTTATAGTTAGGCATAATGTATAACACAAATATTCATTGTTTGGCATAACAGCATTTCATATTTGAATCATTTAATAACATTTTCATCATTGCGTATTCTCCTGGAAATAACACACAATACACACTTCAAAAAACCAGAGCTTTTGCTGGGGATATGTGCTCCTTCCAAAGGCAATTGATTGTGTGCAATATTCTGAGAATTAATTCCTCCAAAGGTAAAGTGTGGCTATCTGGGCTTCTGGTAATATCCTGAAAATTCACATATTCAAAAAGTCTTTTCCACTACAAACCACCATAAATGCTGGACAACAGAATATCGGCTCAACTGCCCAAATTATACTTTGGGGCTTTTGTACACAGTTTTTGCACAGAAATATTTAAGTGAATATAAATTAATTGAAATGTTTTCCCGGTGGATATTGAGGGAGAAACAGAAAAATCCAAGACAATCCCCTGTGGAAGAAAATTCTCCGACCCAAATCTCAACCGAACTCAAAGCGCTGAACAGCGCATCAATTAAGACCTGTCAAATATAATCACACTATCTAATAGTTTTAAATACGCAAAATAAAGAGCACCAAAGTCAATGTAATTCAGAAATAACAACAACAAAACCAGAGCACCCCGATGCAATTAGGCCTCAAGGAATTCCAAAGTAGTGTATTAGGTATAGAAAATACATATGTATTTAGAAATGTTTACAGAGATTAGAGAGAATTTTTTAAAAAAGATTTGGCCTCTAAGACAGTTAACAATTCCAGTAAAGAAGAAAAGAGAAATTCAATGTTTGATATACATACATAAAAATAAATTTTAGGAAAATGAAAAGTCCATGTGATGACAGAATCCAAATTATATAAAAGATAGAAACCTCAATATTTGTTTTTACACATTTTAAGGAAAAAACAACCCTGAAAGCATAAAATGCAGAAAATAATGTTAATAATTCTTGAGTTTTCAAGTCCCTCTCACTGACTTTGGCACTTAGAGAACAGCCAGCACAGGCTCAGGATCACCAAATGGGCATTTCTGCCAAGGAGACAAAACTCATGAAAATGGAGCAGAAAGCTATGCGCACAAGATGGATGGATGCTCCTCTCCCAGAGACCAGCAGGTTCAGGTGTAGAGGGAGTGGGCCAGGGAGGGGCTGTGAGCACCAACCTGGGAGGGGTGGCTAGACTTCCATGGGACCCTCCCATCAGCAGGTTTAAAAATAGGCACATAGACCAATGGAACAGATGAGAGAACCCAGAAATTAACCCAAATACTTACAGCCAACTGATCTTCAACAAAGTGAACAAAAACATAAAGTGGGGAAAGGACATCCTTTTCAACACATGATGTTGGGATAATTGGCAAGCCACATATAGGGGAATAAAACTGGATTTTCATCTCTCACCTTATACAAAAATCTACTCAAGATGGATTAAGAACTTAAACCTAATTCCTGAACTATAAAAATTCTAGAAGATAACACTGGATAAACCCTTCTAGACCTTGGCATAGGCAAGGATTTCATGACCAAGAAACCAAATGCAAATGCAATAAAAACAAAGATAAATAGCTGGGACTTAATTAAACTAAAGAGCGAGCTTTTGCATGGCAAAGGGAACAGTCAGCAGAGTAAATAGACAACCCACAGAGTGGGACCCCTGACCCCTGACCCTGACCCCTAACCCCTAACCCTAACCCCTAACCCTAAACCCTAACCCCAACCCTCACCCTAACCCAGCCCTAACCCCTAATCCCTAACCCCTAACCTCTCTTAACCCCTAACTCTAAACGTTGACTCCCAACCTCTAACTCTGACCCCCACCCCAACCCTAAACTTAACCCCAACCCCTAACCCTAGGTTTGTTACTACGTTTGTATTGACTATGTCAATGTTGATTATTATGATCACTGTCTTAGGACTGCACAGCAGTGAGGGGATTGCGGATCTTATATTAATATTTTTGTATTGAGGCAGTGCATTAGCATTACAGGTGCTTGTTACATGAGCAATGGGGGTGTCATGTCTGCATTAGGAATGCTGCATTTGTCTTCCGAGGCTGCGGTATGTATCTCGCACTGCGGCCACCTCGCCTTGGCTGGGGAGAACCTCGGTGGGCAGGATTCAGAGGGGCTTTTGATTTCCCGTTTTCCACACTGAACCCTTCTAACTGGTCTCTGACACTGATTATTCAGGGCTGCAAACAGGAAGGATTTTATTCACCGTCGATGCGGCCCCGAGTTGTCCCAAAGCGAGGCAGTGCCCTCAAGGTCTGTGCTGAGGAGAACCTTGCTCTGCCTTCGCGGTGTCCCCGGGGTCTGTGCTGAGCAGAACACAGCTCCGCCCTCGCGGTGCCCCCGACCCGCCCAGGTCTGTGCTGAGGAGAACATTGCTCCACCTTCGCTGTATCTCCGAAGCCTGTGCAGAGGAGAAAGCTCCGCCATCACGACGCTCTCCGGGTCTGTGCTGAAGAGAACGCAGCTCCACCCTTGCAAAGGCCCCCAGCGCCGGCGCAGGCGCAGAGAGGCCCTCCCCCTGCCAGCGCCGGCGCAGGCGCGAAGAGGCGCACCCGAACCCGAATCCTAATCCTGACGCCGTCCTAAGAGCCCTGGGGAGACCTTAGGGAACAAGCATTAAACTGACACTCGAGTCTGTAGCCGGCTGTGCCAAAAGACTTGAGGTTGGGGTGATACGGGAGCAGGGGTCGGGGAAGAAAGCGTTCTGGTTTTAGACCCACAGGAAGATCTGTGAAGCGCTCTTGGGTAGAGCACATGTTGCCGGGCATGCCCTTGAAAACAGCCTAAGAAGAGGGGGCGTCTGGAAGGAACCGCAACGCCAAGGGAGGGTGTCCAGCCTTCCCGCTTCAACACCTGGACGCATTCCGGAAAGTTTCCTAAGAAAGCCAGAAAAATAATAAAAAAATAATAATCCAGAGGCCAGGGGGCGCTAATGGGGCTTTACTGGGACTATCTGGCTTAATCCTCCAAACAACCCTGCCACAGCAGCCCATCAGTCCTCTGAGACAGGTGAGGAACCTGAGGTCGCAGGAGGACACCCAGAATGTCCAGGCAGAGCCCCCTAGGCCCCCACACCTCCCCCCGTGGCAACTCCAATCCCAGCTTTTTTCGTTAGTAAGGCACTCCGGCTGCAGGTCCACGCCCACTCCCCCAAGCGGGGAAGGAGCTTCGCGCTGCCGCCAGCTGGGGACTGGGCACCGCCCTCCCGCGGCTCCGGAGCCGGCTGCCACCAGGGGCGCGCCCGCGGTGTCCGGGAGCCTGGCGGCGCGTCTGCAGCGGCCAGTGCACCTGCTCCTGCCCTCACCGCGGTCTCTGCCAGGACCCCGACGCCCAGCCGGACCCTGCCCTCCAGCGGGGCTGCGGCTCCACAGCCTGCGACAGCAGCCCCACCTGGCATTCGGCGTGCTCCTGGGGGCAGAGGTCGCGGTGTCCTCAGGCTGTGGCGCCAGCCTGCAACCCCCACGCCGGGCTCGGGCCCCGGCTGAGGAGGGCGATGCTCCCTGGGTAGGGCGACCGGTCGCCTGGGCTGCGAGGGCGGCTTAGGGGCGGAAGCGGCGGTCCAGGGCCGCCTGATGCAGCAGCCTGTCCCAGCCGCGGTCCCTCCAGTCCCTCCCTGGCGGCTGCGGAGCCGTCCGAGGACAGGGGCCATAAACTCTCCAGAGCGGGAAGCCGCACCCTGGTGGCCCGGCTCCGCGCCCAGACCTGGCCGCAGCTGGCACCTGACCCGCTGCATGGGTCTCCAGGGAGCTCGCTGCCAACCTGGCGCTGCAGCCTCGGCTCCCTCATACGCGCTCTGGTAGGTGCTAGGGACGACCCTATGGGCCAGCTTGCCACGCCAAGTCCCCAGGCCACACCCACCCTGGCTCCCTGGGCTAGGGGACTGGCTCCTCCTGTGGGTCGTGGGGCTGGCAGGCAGGGACTTTAGGGGAGAGGGAGGGACAGAGGGCAGCCCCTGCTGTGTGCGCAGCGAGGTCCTGCACAGGCCTCTGTTGCAGAGCGTGCAGCTTCAGCTGGGACTGGATTGCAGGTGGAGATGACTGTTTGTGCGCACACCTGGGGGTGAAGAGGACGCAGCCTGTCTACCTGACCCATGAAATGGAGGAGACTGTACCACAGAAGCAGCGGGTTCACTGCTCCATTGATGAAGCAAGTCTGGGACACACATGTAGCTAAGCTGCGACTTCTGTGCCAGCGGTCCCAACACCCACGCCTTCAGGAAGACACATGTGTGGGGGTTGCGTGCTTGTCAGGCCTGAGAGTGGAGAGTGGGGGCCAGAGACACTAGGTAGGGGGAACCCGCCCGAGGGCTCTGAGGGATGACGATGTAGGGAGCTGGTGGCAGAGATTGAGCTGGCCCAATGTTGCAGGGTGGGGACAGAGTCGAGGTCCACCCCGCCTCAGGTGGACAGCTGAACCTGAGTAGACATCAGGCCCCAGATCGACATCTGGCCCCAGGTAGATTCCTAGGCCCAAGGTGAATACTCAGTCTCCAGCCCTAGGGGAATTCAGTCTTAGATGACTAAGGACTGGTGTTCCTCTGGGGCCTCATGTCTACCTGGGCGCTGGGAGTGCACATGGAGCCAGATGTCTATAAAGGGCCTGAGTGTCCACTAGGGCCTGAGGTTCACCAGGAACATAGACACCCACCTAGGACCTCGTGTCCACCTAAAACCTGGTGTTCACCTGGGGTCTGGGTGACAACCTGGGATCTGATGTTCACCTGAGGCCCAGAGTTCAGCTGGTGCCTATGTCAGCCTGGCACCTGATGCACACGAGAGGACTAGGTGCCCACCTGAGGACTGGTGTTCTTGGGGAACTGGTGTTCAGCTGTGGATTGATGACCAACTGGGTCCTGGTGTCCTCCTGGCACCTGATGTCCACCTGGGACTGCATGCTTACCTAGGGTCTGGTGTTCCCCTGGGGCCTGGTGTGCCCCTGAGACCTGGGGTCCACCTGGGCCTAGTATCCACTTGGGGCCTCATATTCATCTGGAACATCATGTCCACTTGAGGCCTTGTAGTTACCTAGGGACTGGGTGTCCTTCTGGCACTTCAGTGTCCTCCTGGGGCCTGGGGTTCTCCTGGGGCCTGGGTTTACATCTCTGGCCTGATGTCCACCTTGGGATGGATGTCCACCTGGGGACAGATGTTCATTTGTGGCCTGAGTGTCCATCTCGTGTCTAATGTCTACCTGGGGCCTGGTGTTTGCCTGAGGCCTTATATCCACCTGGGGCCTGGGCATCCATTTGAGGCCTGATGTCTAACTAAGACCCGGTGTTTAATTGGGGCACAGACTTCTTCCTGGAGCCCAATGTTCACCTGGAGCCTGAAGTTCACCTATGCCTGTTGTCTACCTGAGGCCTATGTGTCAGCCTAGCGCCTGAAGACCACCCTGAGTTCAGTGTTCACCTGGGGACTGACATCTGCCTGGAGTCCTGGTGTCCACATAGGGCCTGGTATTGGCTTGGGACCAAAGTATTTACCTAGGGCCTGGGTGTCTACTTAGAGCCTGACTTCTACATGGTTCATTGTGTCAACCTGAGACCTGATGTCCACTTAGGGTCTAGGTAAGCTCCTTATGATTAAAGCCCACATGGGGGCTGAAACCATCTCACACCTTGTGTTAACCTAGGGCTTAGTGTCCACCTGAGGCCGGCCTGGGACCTGGTGACTCCCTGGGGTCAAGGTATCCACCTTGGGCCTGATGACCAGTTGGGGCTTAAGGATCTACCTAGAGACTGGTGTCAACCTGGAACCTGATGTCCACTTGGGTTCTGGTGTACACCTTGGGCCTGATGCCCACCTGGGCATGGGTGTACACTTTGGGCCTAGTGTGCACTGAAGCCTGGGTGTCAACCTGGGTCTTGATGCACACTTTTAGTCAAGTGTTTAACAGGGGCCTGATGAAATACTAGAGCCTGATTTACACCTGTGTACTGGGTCTCCACCTGGGGCCTGATGTCCACCTGCAGCCAGATATCCACCTGGCACCAGATGTCTACCAGGAATCTGGGTGTCCACCTTGAAAATGATGTATTCCAAGAGACTAGGCATGCACATTGGGCCTGGGGTCCACCTGGGTCCTGATGTCTACCTAAGGCTGGTATTGAACTGGGGCCTGTGTGTTCACTTGGAGCCTGATGTTCATTTGGAACCTGGTGTTCACCTAGGACATGGGTATCCACCTGGATCCTGATTTTCAGGTGGGGAGTGGATATAGACCTGGGACCTGATGGCCACCTATGCTATAAGTAACCCAACCACCTGAGGCCTGATATTCACCTGCGGCCTGATGTCCACCTGGTACCTGTGTGTCAATCTAGTGCCTGGTGTCCACTTGAGGACTAGGTAGACACCTGGGGCTTGGTGTCCACCAGAGACCTGGTGTTCATCTTGCAACCAGTGTCCACCTGGACCCTGTGTATCAACCTGTGGCCTAGGTGGCCACTTGGAGCTTTATGTGCACCTGGGTCCTGAGAGTTTCCTAGGATCTGATGACCACTGGGGCCCAGCGATCCACCTGGGACATCAGGCTCCAAGTGTACGCCCAGGCTCCATATGGACACCAGGCCAGGAGAATGCCAGCCCTTATCTGAACATCAGGTCCTAGATGGATGCCCAGGTCCCATATGTACATCAGGCCCCAGGTATACACTGGACTCCAGGTGGACACCAGCACTCAGTTGGATACACACACTCAAGGTGGACACCAGGCCCCACGTGAATTCCTACACTCCAGGTGAACATCAGGTCCCAAGTGGATACCTGGACCCCAGATGGATACCAGTCTCTAAATTAATACCAGGCCTCAGATGGTCCTTAGGAGCCATGTGGGCATTAGTCATCAGGAAGTTACCTAGGCCCAAAGTGGACATCAGGCCCCATGTTGACACAAGATCCAGTTGGAAGTCAGGCCCCAGGTGGACACCCAGGCCCTAGGTAAATACTTAGGTCCCAAGTTGACAGCAGGCCCTATGTGAACACTCAGAACTCAGGTGGACATGAGGCCTCAGGTGGACATCTGAGTTCATCTGGAACCTCATGTTACAGGCCCCATGTAAACACCGGGCCTTAGGTGGATACCCAATCTCTAGGTGGACATCAGAGCTCAGATTGACACAAAGACGCCAGTAGACATAATGTACTAATGAATATCCAGGCCCCTGGTAAATACCCAGGCCCCAGATTGACACCAGGGTCTATGTGGACACACAGGCCCCAGTTAGAAAACAGGCCCAAGGGAGACACTGGACTGGACATCAGGTCCCAGGCTGACAACCATGCTTCAAGTTGACACCAGGCCCCAAGTGAACATCTGGCCCCAGCTGAACACTAGTCCCCTGGTGAATACCTAGGCCCAAGGTTGAAATCAGGCCCCATGTGAACACTAGACCCCAGATAAACACTTATACCCTAAGTGGGCATCAAGCCTCAGGTGGTTACCTGTTCCCAAGGTGAACATCAGGACCCTGATGGGCACCAGTTATCAAGTGGATTCCTAGGCCCCAGGTGAATATCAAGCCCTAGGTGGATACCAGGCCCCAGGTGGATACCAGGATCCTGGTAGACATCAGGTCCCAAGAGGACCCTAGAACCCAGGAATACATTAGGCCACATTAACACGAAGGCCCCAGATGAATACCAGGCCAATTGTGGACATCAGGCCTGAGAAGGGTCCTCAGGCTCCAGGTGGACATCAGGCGCCAGGTGAACATCCAGCACTCAGATGAACATTAAGCTTCAGGTGGACATCATGCCTCAGGTGAACTCCAGGCCCCAGCTAAACATCAGGCCCCAGGTGGATGCCCAGGTTCCGGGTGCACATCTGGCCACAGTTGGACATTCGACCCTAGGTGACCATCAGGCCATAGGTGAATACACGGTTTCCAGGTGGACATCAGATCAAAGGTAAACATCAGTCCCCCAGTGGACATCAGGCCCAAGATGGACACTGAACTAGAGGTTTACATCAGGCCACACATTGACACCTGGTCCCAGGTGGACATCAGGCCCCAGGTGGATACCTAGGCTTCCAGTGAATTTGACACCAGGTTGACATTCAGGCCCCCAGTGGTCATCTGGCCTCATGTGAACACTCAGACCCCAGGTGCACATGATGTCTCAACTGGACACCAAACCCCTAGTTTGATACCCAAGGCCCAGGTGGACACCAGGTCCAAGGCTGACACTCAAGCCCTAAATGAATACCAAATTCTAGGTGAATAATTCAACCCAGGTGTTCATTAGGACCCAGCTGGATACCAGTCCCCAGGTTAACACAAGGCCCCCGGTGGGCACCTAGGCACCAGCTGGACATCAGGCCCTATGTAAACACCCGGGTCTCCGGTGAAAAACATGTCCCAGGTGGACATCAGGCACTACGTGGACACGGGTCCACAGGTGGACATCTAGCCACTGGGCGACATCCAGCCCCAGGCGGTCATAACCATTTCCATGGATAAACCATTCCCAGGTGGATATCAGGCCTCAGGAGGATGGCAGTCACCAGGTAGCCATCAGGCCTCAGATAGACGCCAAGGTCCCAGATGTACAGCAGGCACCAACTGAACCCCAGACTCATGTGGACATCAGGCCACAGGTAGACACCAAGCCTTAGGTAGATACCTAACTTCAGGTGGACATCAGACCCCAGGTGGACACCCAGTCCCCGGGTGGACAATCAGGCCCCAGGCACACATCAGGCCTTAAGTGGACACCCAGGCCCCAAGTTGATATCCAGCTCCCAGGTGATCACCAAGCCCCAGGTAGACACCAGGCCAAAGCTGAGCAACAGGATGCAGTAGATCATCAGGCCACAGCTGGATACCAGTCCCCGGTGAACACAAGGCCCCAGTGGGACACAGATCTAAGGCAGACATCAGGCCCCAGGTGGACATACAGGCCTGAGGTGGAATTCACCCTGAGGGGGACATTCGGCCCCAGGTGCGCATCAGGCCTCAGGTGAATAACCAGTCCCCAGGTGGACATTAGCCTGCAGGTCAACCACAGTCCCCAGGTTGATACCTGATCTCCAAGTGGCTACCCAATCTGCAGGGTAACATTAGGCCCCTGTAGGATCCCAGGCTGCAAGTGGATTCCTAGGCCTCTGGTGAACATCAGGTGCAGGTGTCCAAGCAGGTCCTGGGTGGACATAACTGTGTACAGGTAAGGAGTTGACCTGTGGGGAGGGTGAGCAGTCAGCAGCCCACTGGGGTCCTGAGAAAGTTTTCTGGAAGGAGGAGGCCGAGGGGATGGAAACTTAAAGAAGCGACCTCACTTCCTTGGCAACAGACCCTAACAGAACTAAGAATTCTGGTAACCAGGCCAGGCACGTTGGCTCACACCTGTAATCCCAGCACTTTGGGAGGCTGAGGCAGGAGGATCATGAAATCAGAAGATCGAGACCAGCCTGACCAACATGGTAAAACCACATGTCTACTAAAAATACAAAAAACAAACAAGGTCAGCAAATCGAGTCCATCCTGGCTAACACAGTGAAACCCCGTCTCTACTAAAAATACAAAAATTATCTGGGCATAGTGGTGGGTGCCAGTAGTCCCAGCTACTCAGGAGGCTGAGGCAGGAGAATGGCATGAACTCAGGACCCAGAGCTTGCAGTGAGCCAAGATCTCGCCACTGCACTCTATCCAGCCTGGGGGACAGAGCGAGACTCTGTCTCAAAAAAACAAACAAACAAACAAACAAACAAACACAAAAAAACTAGCCAGGTGTCGTGGTGTGTGTCTCATGCCTGTAATCCCAGCTACTCAGGAGACGGAGGCAGGAGAAGTGATTGAACCCAGTAGGCGGATGTTGCACTGAGCCGAGATCATGCCACTGCACTCCAGCCTGGCCAACAGAATGAGACTATGTCTCAAAAAAAAAAAAAAAAAGAAAAGAATTCCAATAACCAGGCACCCACATCCTAGAGTTAGCCCCGTAGCCAGCTCACTTGGTGGGAGACACTCAAGAGAGCAAGATGTTGTGCTGCATCCCCACATCTCCAGGCTCTGGCTTCAGGAATGGCAGAAGTGAGAGCCTTTCTTTGCTGATGATGCCCTCGTAGGCTCATCCCTCACCCCAGATGCCTCTGGCCATTTGGCAGAAGCCCCCCCCCCCAGGTACCACAGGACAGGAGTCACCAGGTAGACATCAGGCCCCAGATAGACACCAAGGTCCCAGATGTACAGCAGGCACCAACTGAACCCCAGACTCATGTGGACATCAGGCCACAGGTAGACACCAAGCCTTAGGTAGATACCTAACTTCAGGTAGACATCAGACCCCAGGTGGACACCCAGTCCCCAGGTGGACAATCAGGCCCCAGGCACACATCAGGCCTTAAGTGGACACCCAGGCCCCAAGTTGATATCTGGCTCCCAGGTGATCACCAAGCCCCAGGTAGACACCAGGCCATAGGTGAGCAACAGGATGCAGTAGATCATCAGGCCACAGCTGGATACCAGTCCCCAGTGAACACAAGGCCCCAGTGGGACACAGATCTAAGGCAGACATCAAGCCCCAGGTGGACGTACAGGCCTGAGGTGGAATTCACCCTGAGGGGGACATTCGGCCCCAGGTGCGCATCAGGCCTCAGGTGAATAACCAGTCTATATATATATATATATTATATATATATCTATTTATATTGTGTTGGATATATATATCTATATCTATATATCTATATATCTATATATATATGTATATCTATATATATCTATATTTATCTATATATATTGTGTTGGATAAATCCAACAGCACATTAAAAATTTAATTCACCATGATCAATTGAGTTTTATTCTAGAAATGCTAGGATGATTCAACATATGCAAATCAATAAATGTGATTCATCACATAAAGTTAAAAACAAAAACCACAGGATCATTTCAATTGATGTTGAAAAGACAATCATAAAATAGGAGAAAATATTTGTAAACTATCCATCTGACAAGGGATTAACAACTAGAATATATAAGGAGCTCAAACAACTCTATAGAAAAAATCTGATCATCCAATTTAAAAATGGGCAAAAGATCTTGCTCAAAAGAAGACATATAAATGGCAAACAGGCATGTGAAAAAGTGCTCAACATCATTGCTCATCAGAGAAATGCAAACCAAAACTACAAGACGAATCATCTAACCCTAGTTAAGATGGCTTATATCCAAAAGACAGGCAGTAAGAAATACTGGCTAGGATGTGGAGAAAAGGGAACCCACTATTGGTGGGAATGTAAATTAGTACAATTACTATGGAGAACAGTTTGGAGGTTTCTCAAAAAAAAAACAAAAACAAAAATAGAGCTACCATATGACCCAGCAATGCCATTGGTAGGTATATATAAGAAAGAAAGGAAATCAGGATATCTGAGAGATACCTGCACTCCCATGCATATTGCAGCACTATTCACAATAGCCATGATTTGGAAGCAACCTGTGTGTCCATGAACAGATGAATAAATAAAGAAAATGTGGTTAATATACACAATAGAGTAATATACAGCCATGAAAAAGAATGAGATCCTGTTATCTGCAACAGCATGGATAGAACTGGAGGTTATTATGTTAAATAAAATAAGCCAGGGACAGAAAGACAAATTTTCCATGTTCTCACTTATTTGTGGGAGCTAAAACTTAAAATAACTGGATTTATGGAGATAGAGAATAGAGTAATGGTTACCAGAGATGGAAGAATAGTAGGGTTAAGGGGAAGAATGAATAATCGGCATAAAAATACAGTTAGATAGAATAAGTAAGATCTAGTATTTGATAGAACAACAAGGTGACTATAGCCAAACATAATTTATAGTACATTTAAAAATAACTAAAAGAGCATAATTGCATTGTTTGTAACACAAAGAAAGGGTAAATGTTTGAAGTGATGGATACCCCATTTACCGTGATGTAATTATTATACATCGTATGCCCGTAGAAAAATATCTCATGTACCCCATAAACATATACAGTCAGTGTGTACCCATAAAAATTTAAAAAGGAAAAGATAAAATAAACAACCTGATATTACAACTCTAGTAACTAATAAAAAAAGAACAAACTAAACCCAAAGTCAGCAGAAGGAAAGAAATAACAAGGATCTGAATAGAAATAAACAGAATAGAGACTAAAACTACAATAGAAAAGAACCCAATGTAATAAAGAGTATTTTTTTCAGAAGGATAAACAAATCAACAAGCCTTTAGCCAGACCAAGGAAAAAGGAGAAAGGACTCAAATATTAATACAATCAAAAGTGAAAAGGGAGACATTACAACTGATACCACAGAAATATAAAAGCTCATAAGAAAAAAAGCTCATAAGAGAGTACTATGAAAAATTGTACAGTAACAAATTGAATAAAGCAGATGAAATAAATAAATTCCAAGATACATGCAAGATACCAATACTGAATCATGAAGAAAAAGTAAGTACGAACAGACCAAAAATGAATAAGATTGAATTGTAATAAAGTCTCCCATCAAAGAGAAGCCCAAAATAGCTTTACTGTTGTATTCTACCAAACATTTAAATAATTAGCAATCCTCAAACTCTTCCAAAAAAAATCTAAGAGGAAGGAATACTTCACTTCCAAACTTTTTTTACATGGCCAACATTACTCTGATACCAAAGTCAGCCAAGAACAAGAAAAAGAAAAGAAAAGAAAAATTACAGGCCAATATCCCTGATGAACATAGATGCAAGAATCCTCAATCAAATACTAGCACACTGAATTCAACAGCACATTAAAAAGATAACTTACCATGCTCAAGTGGATTTACCCCAAGGATACAAGGTGGATCAACATACATAAATCTATAAATGTGATATACAACATTAACAAAATGAAGCCCCAAAATTATATAATCATCTAATTAGATGCAGAAATGGCATTTGAAAAATTCAACATTGTTTCATGAAAAGATTCTCAACAGAGTTGGTTTAGAAGAAATATACTTCAACACAATAAAGACCATGTATTACAAGCCTACAGCTCACATTATACTCAATGTACCCTCCAAATCCCAGGCTGAATTGTGATCCCCAGTGTCAGAGGGGGTGCCTGGTGGGAGGTGTCTGTGTTATGGAGGTGAATCCCTCATGGGATGGTGATGGTATCCAACCCAACCCTCAGGAATGGGTTTGCATTTTACCCGTAGTAGAGTTACCATCAGATCTGTTGGTTAAAAAGAGTGTGGGACAACCCCCTCCCCACCTTTCTCCCTCTCTTGCCATGTGACACACCTGCTCCCCCTTTGCTTTCTTCAATGAGTAAAAGCTTCCTTAGGCTTCAGAAGCTAAGAAGATGCTGATGCCACGCTTGTACTGACTGCAGGACCATGAGCCAAATAAACCTCTTTTCTTTATAAATTACTCAGTCTCAGGTATTCCTTTATAGCAATGTAAAATGGACTAAAACAAATGTTATTGGTGATTTATGCAATGGCCATTTTAAAGGTGTGGTGGGGGGAAGCCATATTTAAATATATTAGAGGTGAGAAAGACATGAGGAAAAGATGAAGATTCCTTACGGTCTCTCAAGTATGGCAGTCACGCTCCTGCCTTGTGGCCCGTATACATGCCATCTCCTCTGCCTGGAATGCTCTTTTCCCAGATATTTATGTTTCTTTCCCCCACACTCCCTTCAAATCTTTGACCAAATATCACCTTTTCAGTGAGGCCTTTCCTGACTAGCTATTGAAAATTCCACCCAGGGGAATTGAGAGATATCGGTCAAAAGGTACAATGTTTCAGCTAAACAGGATGAATAAGTTTTGGAGATCTACTGTACAACATAGTGACTGTAGTTAATAGTCATGTGTTATACCATTGTCCCTAAATATCTGCAATATCTGGGGGGTGATTTGTTCCAGGACTCCCCAAGGACACCGAAATCCTGGGATGTTCAAGTCCCTTATATAAAATGATGTAATTTTATATTTGCATGTAATCTATGCATATTCTTCCATACACTTTAAATCATCTATAGATTACTTATAATACTAATAAAATATAAATGTTTTATAAATAGTTGTTATAACGTATTTTTTTTATTTTTACTGCTTTTATTGTATTTTTTGTGGGTTTTTTGTCCTAATAGTTTCTATCCAGTTGGTTGGATGCCTGAATGTGGAACTCATGGAAACATAGGGCCAAAAGTATACTTGAAGTTTTTAGAAGAGATTTTAAATGTTCTCATACAATAAAATGAAAGTATGTGGAAGTGATAAATATGTTAGTTTGAATTAATCGTTTCACCATGTATACATACCAAAAAATCATCTTGTATGCCACAAATACATACAGTTTTTAAAATATAAAATAAAAAATATTCAATCACCTATTATAAAGCAAGCACATATTGAACAAGTGCCAAGTTAATCTCATATACTGGATAATGATTCCATGGAAAGTAGCCTTGCTTAATTGGGAAAAGACCCAAGTGACAGAGTAGCTCCCTATGGAAAATTGTAACTGGTTTAAGTGACAGCTTAAACTCCAGAATGTCTCACCAAACAGTCAAATATATCTCTGCTCATAAGTATATTTCTCAATGAATTGTTATCAACTGATACTCCTGTGTAAAGGTACCTAGTTCAAGAAACTGAATATTATCAGCATCCCAAAATCCCAACCTTTTCATTGAGGCTTTCCCTAACTACCTATTGAAAATTGCGCCCAGGGGATATGGGGAGACGTTTGTCAAAGGGTACAATGTTTCAGCTAAAAAGGATGAATAAGTTCTGGATATCTACTGTACACCATTAACCTTAAGAGAGATCTCAAAAAGGAAAAGAACTCACACACAAAAAAATTGCTGTAAAGGATACACATGAAAGACATAGAAGGGAGGTGGAGGGAATGCAGAGAGCTGTGGGCTGAGTCTGAGCCTCAAGGCTTTTTCAGCATAAAACACCGCAAAGACTGTTGATAAGCAAGCCTGTCCCCCATTTACTAAGCTTAGGCAATTAACTTTATGTGTCAAAATTTTATCAGTACCCAACACTGATTTAAGGACTCAACACTCTGAATTGAGAAAACCTAAAGTACAAAAAGTTACCTCAAAGGTAGGTGAGACTCTCTAACAGCTCAAATATATGTCTTCAATGTGTTCTAATTGCAAATTACTTACAATTTGGCACAACATATTGGGAGAGAGGAGTAGTGGAATGGTAAAAATCAAACCTAACTTCAAAATATTGTAAATTATGGTTCTAAGATCAATCTTAATGACCCAATATGTGCAATGAGGCTCTTCTCTTCCTCCTCCATGTTACAGATGGGAACACGAAAGACTAAGCCATTCACATTACCCTAGGGAAGGCAGAGGGAAAGGGCAGTCCAGGTGTCCTGAACTGTACTGCTCACAGGGGAGGCCTGGCCCACCACTAAGTCTGGATACTTCCAAACCTATCCTTACATGAAAACAATATCTGGGGACCATTTCATTCTAATTGGTTTCGGGTCCTAGTTTCTGCCCAGTGGTCAAATCCAGAAACCCAGTCAGGACCTAGTTTCAATGAGTGGCTCTGAGCTTAGCTAATTAATGGCTTCCTGGCCCAAGAAAGCCTTCCTGTTTTTGTTTGTTTAATTAATTGTTTGCTATTGCGCTAAAATACTTTGTCTTACCTGACAATGAGTGAGCTCAGGATTATCTTGGCACATTTGGTTATGTGGTTTGAGCCCTCCCAGAGTGTTAATTGTCTACCAGCTACCCATTAAAGTTTAATACGGCAGAAGACAATGAGCTTACTAGAGATGTCACAGAGCCTTTGTTGCCATGGCAATAATTGTTGGACCAGATCACAGAGAAGGAAGTAAGAGACAAGAAAGAGAAAGGTGCAGGAAAAGCTGAAGCATAATAGTTTTTTAAAATACTCTCTAAACTTATAATGGAGTAATGTGTTTAAATTTGTGGGGGAAACCACTTTATGAGAAAGGCTGATTTTCCAACATCCTCTTAAAGAGATATGGTTTTGGTTTTATGGAAGAATGGTTTCTAAGCTACATTTCATCTTTTTTTTTTTTTTTTTTTTTTTTTTAGACGGAGTCTCGCACTGTCACCCAGGCTGGAGTGCAGTGGTGCGACTTCGGCTCACTGCAACTTCCGCCTCCCAGGTTCAAATGATTCTCCTTGCCTCAGCATCCCAAGTAGCTGGGATTACAGGCACCCGCCACCATGCCTGGCTAGTTTGTTTTGTATTTTTAGTAGAGACCAGGTTTCCCTATGTTGGCCAGGCTGGTCTCGAACTCCTGACCTCATGATCCGCCCGCCTCAGCCTCCCAAAGTGCTGGGATTACAGGTGTGAGCCACCATGCTCGGCCTACATTTCATCTTAAAATAAAAGTAAACGAATTGGGATTAATTTGGAAGCACACTGACTACTATAATACCAAGAAGTTCATACGAAGGCAGATAGATAGCCATTAAAATGGCAGAAATTCAACAAAATTTTTAATAGATGATTGTGTCAGTGAGAAATAGTTTTGATGTGCAGTATGAAACCTCAAATATTCCAGGGGCTCCTGCAAAGTGTAAACTTGTAGTATCCTTGACTTAGAACTGAAAGAACAGCAGGATTGGAGGTGGGTGAAAGAAAGAACCTAGTGATCTAGGTAATGTCACTTTGGATAACATTTGCTCTAAATTGCTCCCAGCATCAGTGAGTAGAGCTTGGGAGGAGTGAGTGTGTATTTCAAAGCCCAGGGCTTCAGTCAGTGTGAATGAGACAATGAGGATTATCCTGCCCTCTTGTGCTTCTGAGCCAAGGTGCCAGGGCTTAAAGAGGAGAGGAAGGAAATGAAGAAGTCACAGAGTGCCTGATTGAAGAAGCAAAGTGCAGAAACACATCCTCCTCCCGCCTCCCTGTAGAAGTCAACCTCCCCCTTGACTGCCCATCACTATCAGCATGGGATGGTGGTATATTTACTTAATTAGCTAAACGTGAATAGAGCTTAAAGTTTAGCCCTTAGGTGGGATTTTGCCGACATAGACTTCCTAGGACTTTTGTCCTATCACAGTGGCCTGTTGCACTGTGAGCTTCTTGTGTCAAAGGTTAATTAATCTTGTCTCTCTAGAGTCTAATGTTCAAATGCATGTTCATTTAACTAGGCTGTTTATTAAGTATACTGATTTAGTGACAAGATTATTTAAGAAAAAAGCCCCAAAGGTAACTTATATTGTTGACCAGAGTAAATTAAAGGTGTAAACATTTAATAACACCTAGAAGCCATATTCAGAATAAGTATAATTTTTACTAGTTATTCTAATCTTTTGAAAGAAACATCACAGTTAGAAATGAAAAAGACCATATTACCACTGACCCCACAGAAATAAAAAATAACCATCAGAAACTACTACAAACACCTCTATGCACACAAACTTGAAAACCTGTAAGAGATGGGTAACTTCCTGAACACACCAATAACGTGCTCCAAAATTGCATCTGTAATAAATAGCCTACCAACCAAAAAATATATATATTTTAAAAAGCTCAAGACTAGATGGATTCACAGCCAAATTCTACCAGATATGCAAAGAAGAGCCAGTACCATTTTTGCTGAAATGATTCCAAAAAAACTGAGGAGGAGGGACCCCTGTCCAACTCATTCTATGAGGCCAGCATCATCCTGATACCAAAACCTGGTAGAGACACAACAACAACAAAAAAAACTTCAAGCCAATATCATGGATGAATACTGATATAAGGCAGCTTGTGATTAGTATCATGACAAAGACACAAAGATGGTAAAATAAAAATGCAAGGATGGGGCTGGGTGCAGTGGCTCACGCCTGTAATCCCAGCACTTCAGGAGGCCAAGGCAGGTGGATGACAAGGTCAAGAGATAGAGACCATCCTAGTCAACACGGTGAAACCCCGTTTGTACTAAAAATACAAAAATTAGCTGGGTGTGGTGGCGCATGCCTGCATTCCCAGCTACTCAGGAGGCTGAAGCAGAAGAATTGTTTGAACCTGGGAGGCAGAGGTTGCAGTGAGCTGAGATCATGACACTGCATTCAGCCTGGGGACAGAGCGAGATTCTGTCTCAAAAAAAAAAAAAAAAAAAAAAAAACCAAACAACAATGGAAAATGTGCTTTGGTTAGGGGAAGAGAGGAAAACATTTTGGGAAAAAAAAATGTCTTTTGAACTGGACCTTGAAGGAGGGTTTGTACAGATGTAGATGGAGATAAATAGAATTCCAAATACAGAAAATGATCACAAAGAAGAGAACATAAGAAACTGAAGCTATTCAGAGAATGAAATGCTGTCTACTGTCTAATTTATCTGCAAAAGAGAGTAGGGAAAAATAACACCAAGAAAGTCATTTGAAGTCAATTTGTGGAGAACTTGGGAACTTGAAATCATTGACAGCTTTTGAGCAGACGAGAATATCAAAGCTATGTTTTAGAAGTTTCTAAGTATTATGACTAAGTGATAATAAAGGTCTGAATAAACATTTTCCTCTGTAGTCTCTCAAAGTGGAAGTTTGCTTTTAGACAGATGTCTGTGGTCCTAGGGCATACATCCCTGATATCCTCAACTACTTCACAGCACTTGGTATGAGCATTCACTCACACATGAGTGTTTAGTTACACTATGTTGGCCCCTAAATGTCATAAAGTAAAAATAGAAGAGATACTAATAAATACAAGTAAATACTTCTCTCTATTAATTGGGAAGTCACATGTTCCTCTGAAGTATTTCTGTTAATTAACTTAAATGTTGCTACTTCTTATACTTTCTTCTCATATCTAAAGGATTCTGGCAAAAAAGTGCCATCCTTCTAAAAGTTATTTCTAAATTCTGTAAGTTTTTGTTCAATGTGTGACAATGTTGGAACCTCAGTATTTTCCTCACTGGGCTGTATATCCTCCAATATATGCACAGTAACACTTGAAATGTTCCTAAACATTATGTCAAAAGTTTTGGTAACATTTTGTATCTTATTTCTCCTCAGACTGTGTCTTCCAGAAGATTTTCTGGAATCCGTCTGGTGGGCAAGCTCTTTGTAAATAATGATGCCTTAGAATAGTTGTCATTACTCTTTACTGATTCTTCAGAGAATATGTAATCATTAACTTTTTAAAGATTCATCTTGGAAGATAACTTTCCTAATGCTATAGAGGCTACATCCCAGGAGAATGTGAGTTTCATAAAGTGCATTTTTAATTTTGGGGCCGGCCACAATAAAACTCTGTCTAGCTGAAGACATAATATGATTTATAAAATAAATCATTTAGAGATTTGGTTCCTGTCAAAACGATGATGGCTTCACCTTTTGAGCACTGCTGAGAATCATGACACTCCTGTGTCAATCCCTTTTCATTCCATAATTTCTTAATGTTGGTTTATTAATGATTCTGGTTGGAAGCCTATTAAAGAGACATATATTACTAAAAGAAGCACAAACATAACTTCTAACTAGTCATACCAAAAGACTTCCCAGAGCACTGGTGTAGAGAGCAAGTTGGAAGAAAAACTTTTGAAAATTTGTGTTTCTGCTCAAAATGTCCTCTTGACATCTAGGACTCACATCCCTCCATATTTCTGAGGAAAAGAAAAGTTTTTTTCCAGGTAACGCAAATCCCTAATATATTTTTATAAGAATGTAGGAAGAAGGAAGTTTACCTATAACAAAATAAGTGTTTGATTTCTGTCATCTGGTAAAAATTTTCAATTTTAAAAAAAAGCATATAAGGAACATCAATCTCAAAATTTTATGAAATGCCTTCAAAAGTAAAGTTTAATGTCTAGATCTTTGCAAACTTTTGTACATAATGACTAAATCAATATTATATTGATTTTATCAATATAATAATCACTATATCAGTTTATGAAATTAAGGTAAAAGATTAATCAGAAGCTTAAAGCCTTTGCTTTCTACAGAAAACATTGCAGCTTTACAATATTAATATTAAAAATCAATATTGGTGAGTAACATTAGATAATCACTTAAGCTAACAACAGCAGCAAAAGAAATTCAGAGATAATGGCTTTAACGTGATTGCTACCAATTTATTTTAAAATATGTGCATTTCTTTTGCATATGTAAATAATGTTAAGTAATATGTTTAGCTGAAATGTAAATGGTCAAAACTTTCTTTACTGAGTCTATTGCACCATAAGTTGGGTTTGCAGTAAGAAACTAACACATTTGTGCCTTCTCAAAGTACTAACTTTGAGTTGTATGCTATCCAGAAACTATATTCAATCATTTCTGTCTCAAAATAATGACCTTACAAAAGGAATTTAACTTTACCTAGTTCTATCACGATTGCATATTAAGGAGAGATTTAGAAGATGGCAGAAGTTTGTTTTTGTTCAATCAGCTACCTACGAAGCCCAAAACTCATATACTGTATAGCCGAGAAAAAGTAAACTACATTCTCTTCCTAATTATTCTTTTGAAAAATGACTTCATGTTCATTATCTTCTCTTCATTCTTAAAAAAGGAACACATTTTATAAAAGAGTCCTGACTGATAATGTGTCCCTTGACCTTGCAGGTCACTGGCCTAATGAATGTCTCTGAGCCAAATTCCAGCTTTGCTTTTGTAAATGAATTTATACTCCAAGGTTTCACTTGTGAGTGGACAATTCAGATCTTCCTCTTCTCACTCTTTACTACAACATATGCACTGACTATAACAGGGAATGGAGCCATTGCTTTTGTCCTGTGGTGTGACTGGCGACTTCACACTCCCATGTACATGTTCCTGGGAAATTTCTCCTTTTTAGAGATATGGTATGTCTCTTCTACAGTTCCCAAGATGTTGGTCAACTTCCTTTCAGAGAAAAAAAACATCTCCTTTGCTGGATGTTTTCTCCAGTTTTATTTCTTCTTCTCTTTGGGTACATCAGAATGCTTGCTTTTGACTGTGATGGCCTTTGATCAGTACCTTGCTATCTGCCGTCCCTTGCTCTATCCTAATATCATGACTGGGCATCTCTGTGCCAAACTGGTCATACTGTGCTGGGTTTGTGGATTTCTGTGGTTCCTGATCCCCATTGTTCTCATCTCTCAGATGCCCTTCTGTGGCCCAAACATTATTGACCATGTTGTGTGTGACCCAGGGCCACGATTTGCATTGGATTGTGTTTCTGCCCCAAGAATCCAACTGTTTTGCTACACTCTAAGCTCATTAGTTATTTTTGGTAACTTCCTCTTTATTATTGGATCCTATACTCTTGTCCTGAAAGCTGTGTTGGGTATGCCTTCAAGCACTGGGAGACATAAGGCCTTCTCTACCTGTGGGTCTCATTTGGCTGTGGTATCACTGTGCTATAGCTCTCTTATGGTCATGTATGTGAGCCCAGGACTCGGACATTCTACAGGGATGCAGAAAATTGAAACTTTGTTCTATGCTATGGTGACCCCACTCTTCAATCCCCTTATCTATAGCCTCCAGAATAAGGAGATAAAGGCAGCCCTGAGGAAAGTTCTGGGAAGTTCCAACATAATCTAAGGCATATTAGATTATTCCTCCATGATCAGATCAGTACAGTCTAACAAAGAGAAATCAGAATTATATAGTTATTTAAATCTAAAAAATATGGACCTAGTGATATTGACTATATCAGCCTATGAAATTAAACACCTGTTGGACCCCTTACAAATTAAAGTTGCCAAATCATATAGATAAATGGAAGCGTGTGGTTTCCCTTTGGCACCTAGACTGAGTATTAACTGAGGAATACACATATTTGGGTGTTTTCTGGATAGTTTCCATCTGATTCATCTGTGATAAAAATTCTTTATGTTCTATTTTACTTAAATTTATTGTTCTGAGATTGACAAAATTATAGCTATGTTATTTTGTTTGGTTGGTTGTAAATAAAAGAAGAAAAAATATATTTTCTGATTGTGATTCTTATCATATTTGGGTTTATTATTTTGGTGACATGGTCATTACTAATACATAAGCCCTTATAAGCAATTTATCAACATTTTTGTAGGACAATAAAATATTCTAGCCTAATGATATCCAAACATTACCTCCTTCTGGACCCCTAAAGGGCAGATTCTAAATCCATCTATAATAATATCAGTCAAAATATTCAGAAATGCATTGTTCTAAATACCTAATATTTTTACCTAAATAAGATATCACCAACAACATGATAGGTCAATTTACCGAGTTTTAGATAATAGAATATCTCCCCTAAAGATTGGACAGGGCAATGGTGTACTTGTGGATACACTACTTAAGTTCAAAAAATAAAATAAAATCAATGGCAGTTCATTGTCATTTGCTGCTAAAAGAATGTGAAAATAACATGAAGGAAAATTTTTGAAGGAAAAAAGCATGTATAATTCAATTGCTCTAATGTATCTATTTTTGTTAATATGTCTGTTTCATGTGATTTAATGTTAAACTCGCTTCCATTTATAGCAAGTTTTTATAATTATCATTCATAGAAAGCATAATATTTTATTGAACTAACGTGCCATGAATTGTGAATTTTTATGTGGTGAGATGAACATTGTCCTAGACGAAGGGCCTTCCTTCCAAGAAGCTAAGAGCTGACTAGTAAAAGGGAATTTTCAGAAGGGATATTAGGAGAAAAATGAATGCCTCTACTACACAAGAATGACTTCTCACAGAATTTGTACTGCAGCATTCTGGGGTAAGGTTACTGAACACTCCAACATCTTCCTTCCTTCTACCACCAATCTTTTTGTTGAACATTACAGTTATCCCATTTTTTTGTTATAAAATAATATCTCAATAAAATCTTCATAAAGATTTGCCTTGATAATATTTTGCAAACCTAAATTAGGACTCATCATCTAATCTGAAACAGACTGTCCCAGAAAATACAGAATATAAGAATATGATGTGTGTGCAACAATTTTCCTTTCAGATTTTTTGTCTTAGAACAGTTTATCGGGAAAGAGATCATTATTCAGTTCAAAAGGTAAGAATGCATTTGTGAATTGGGGCCCGGACATTCCAGGTAGAACAATTATTTGCTCCTTTCATGTAAGACAGTATCAAGCTTTTACTCAATCTTATTAGAACTCTGCCATATCTCTCACTTGTATAGCCGCTGAGGATCTTTCCTCTTTCTTTACTCCTTTCCAGGGTGCATGACTTTTAAGTTACCTGAGTTCTGATCAGCAAACGGACTCAAAAAGAACAGGTAGTCAAGGCAGGCAATATTTCCACCACAGTTTCAGAACTCCCTACTTTGTATTACTAAGTTAATACATTTGTGCAGCCACTACCTTTGCAAAGGTTTCTTCTTACAACCTCAAATACTATGACTGGTTCACAACCTTTTCCATAGTGCTAAATTATTTGACCAAACACTGCATATATACCATATTTTTTCAAAGCCAAACTGTATCCCAAAGAGAGAGAAGGAGAGAGAAAGAATAGCAATAAAAATACAGTGTTATTTCAGGTTGATATTTAAAAATAATTGTGCTGGTTAATGGTTTCCTTGGGGGAAATGACAATTGAAAGTCGGTATTTTCTACTTTCAAATACAAGTCATGGTGTTTATTAGCTCCCTTTAAATGCTCACTAAGCTGAACAAACTTTGACTCTACCCTCAATTACAACTAATTCCCTCACAAAGGAAAATTTATTTGTACAACCAAACATTATGTACATTCAAGATTACTAGAAAACTTAGGACATAAGGTGCAAGTGCGACAATATTATGAGAAAAGAAAGACTGTGTATTAGTTTAACAGGTTTACATATGCAAATTCACCACACAGGGTTTGTTCTCTTGGCAACATTGAAAATAATAATAATTAACGTTTTAAGGCAACTATTTTGTGTCAGGCAATATTCCAAGTCTTTTCTATGTATTATTTTATTTCCTACTTATGAAACCCAAAGAAATCAGGTCGGTATTATTGTATCTCTAATTTTTGAAGAGTGAAACAGGCAGAAAAGGTAACTTGCCTAGTTGGAGATGGCGTCTGATCTCAGGCAGGCTAACAATGGAGCCCACAGTTTTTACTACTATCGGGGGAAAGGACCAACACTATAGAGTGAAATAGATTGGATCAAATCTAAGTCACTGATTGTGTGAGCTTATGCAAATTATTTGACCTTTCTGCCTAGATTTGTTTAGACTATAAAATATAACTAATGATAATACTTCTGTCAGACAGTGGATTTGATGAATAAATGAGGTAAATCAAGGTAGGATCTTACACATAGTATTTAGGGAATCTATTTCAGTTAATATTATTAATGTCTTTCATTTGTAGAGCTCTTCAGCATTTCCCACTTTTATATAGTTGTTCAGTTCATCCTCACAAATTCTGTCATCACACAGTTAAGGTAGACATTCCCATACTCATTTCACTGATGAGATTCAAAGAAATCAAGTATACTGTCCAAGGTCACCCATAGTAAGTGAAGGAGCAAGTTCTTCTGACTTCAAGTTCAATAAGAATTCTGCTGTACCATACATCCTATTCTGGGAAATGTGGCTAAGTTCTGCGTAGCTAACTTCAGAACTACACGGCCATGTAAGCCAAAGAGCTGGATTTACCCCAGAAATTAATGCTGTAGAGAAGAAATGAGTGCAGTAGAAGAACTAAGGGATTTCTTTCCAGTAGTCTTAAGGTAATAACTACTCAAATTATACAAATATTTAAGTAAAATGTATTTCACGTGCAAAATATGTCACTGAGTGAAAATGGCAGATCATGAAACAATATTATTATATAATCTCACACAAACATGAAGTCATGGGATTATGGGTAATTAAGATTCGTTGTTTCCTCTTTTATGCTAATATCTTTATTTCCTAATTTTTCCATGACAAATATGCATTTTTTGTCCAATTTACAAACGACATGTAGTTAAGAAAAAATGAATGTTTACAAATGGCTGTATAATTTAAAGCAATGCTTTTAGACACACCACTTACCCACGCTTTCCCTCCACTTTGTGTGTAAGGAAAGGATAATGCTACTGTCTTTGGTAAGCTTTTACCACGTCTTTACAGAGCTTCTCAAGTACTTTTCCACGTGGCGTCACTTTGTGGAGAGGAGTTAATTTGGCACCCTTGTCCTTCTATTTCACTCAGAAGCAGCTCTTTCTGCAAAGGAGAGAGTGGTCTTTGGTAGCAAACCCTGGCCTTGTGGTTTTCATTCTAGATTCTTAGAACAACAACAACAACAACAACATCAACAACAACAAAAGACAGAGACAGAGAGAGAGAGAGAATGGAGGAACATGTCATACAATCAAATGAACCTTCCCAAACAAGAGCTTTACCCGGGGACTTCCATCTACACTTGTACACATCTCTCCAGCCAAGCTCCCTACTTACTACCAATACAAGAACCAACTTTAATTAAAAGAGAGTTTGAATTGTTATGTTTTTGATACCTACCTTTTTTTTATTATACTTTGATTTAGGGTATGTGTGCACAAAATGCGGGTGTGTTACATATGTATACATCTGCCATGTTGGGGTGCTGCACCCATTAACTTGTCATTTAGCATTAGGTATATCTCCTAATGCTATCCCTCCCCCCTGCCCCCACCCCACAACAGGCTCTGGCATGTGATGTTCCCCTTCCTGTGTCCATGTGTTCTCATTGTTCAATTCCCACCTATGAGTGAGAACATGCAGTGTTTGGTTTTTTGTCCTTGCGATAGTTTGCTGAGAATGATGGTTTCCAGCTTCATCCATGTCCCTACAAAGGACATGAACTCATTTTTTATGGCTGCATAGTATTCCATGGTGTATATGTGCCACATGAACTGAAACAAATTTGCAAGAAAAATACAAACAATCCCATCAAAGAGTGGGCAAAGGATATGAACAGACACTTCTCAAAAGAAGACATTTATGCAGCCAAAAGACACATGAAAAAATGCTCATCATCACTGGCCATCAGAGAAATGCAAATCAAAACCACAATGAAATACCATCTCACACCAGTTAGAATGGCAATCATTAAAAAGTCAGGAAACAACAGGTGCTGGAGAGGATGTGGAGAAATAGGAACACATTTACACTGTTGGTGGGACTGCAAACTAGTTCAACCACTGTGGAAGTCAGTGTGGCGATTCCTCAGGGATCTAGAACTAGAAATACCATTTGACCCAGCCATCCCATTACTGGGTATATACTCAAAGGATTATAAATCATGTTGCTATAAAGACACACGCACATGTATGTTTATTGCAGCACTATTCGCAATAACAAAGACTTGGAACCAACCCAAATGTCCAACAATGATAGACTGAATTAAGAAAATGTGTCTATTTGATTCTTCTCTCTTTTCTTCTTTATTAGTCTTGCTAGTGGTCTATCAATTTTTTTGATCCTTTCAAAAAACCAGCTCCTGGATTCATTGATTTTTTGAAGGGTTTTTTGTGTTTCTATTTCCTTCAGTTCTGCTCTGATTTTCGTTATTTCTTGCCTTCTGCTAGCTTTTGAATGTGTTTGCTCTTGCTTTTCTAGTTCTTTTAATTGTGATGTTAGGGTGTCAATTTTGCATCTTTCCTGCTTTGTCTTGTGGGCATTTAGTGCTATAAATTTCCCTCTACACACTGCTTTGAATGTGTCCCAGATATTCTGGTATGTTGTGTCTTTGTTCTCGTTGGTTTCAAAGAACATCTTTATTTCTGCCTTCATTTCGTTATGTACCCAGTAGTCATTCAGGAGCAGGTTGTTCAGTTTCCATGTAGTTGAGCCATTTTGAGTGAGTTTCTTAACCCTGAGGTCTAGTTTGATTGCACTGTGGTCTGAGAGATAGTTTGTTATAATGTCTGTTCTTTTACATTTGCTGAAGAGAGCTTTACTTCCAACTATGTGGTCAATTTTGGAATAGGTGTGGTGTGGTGCTGAAAAAAATGTATATTCTGTTGATTTGGGGTGGAGAGTTCTGTAGATGTCTATTAGGTCCACTTGGTGCAGAGCTGAGTTCAATTCCTGGGTATCTTTGTTAACTTTCTGTCTTGTTGATCTGTCTAATGTTGACAGTGGGGTGTTAAAGTCTCCCATTATTATTGTGTTGGAGGCTAAGTCTCTTTGTAGGTCATTCAGGACTTGCTTTATGAATCTGGGTGCTCCTGTATTGGGTGCATATATATTTAGGATAGTTAGCTCTTCTTGTTGAATTGATCCCTTTACCATTATGCAATGGCCTTCTTTGTCTCTTTTGATCTTTGTTGGTTTAAAGTCTGTTTTATCAGAGACTAGGATTGCAACCCCTGCCTTTTTTTGTTTTTCATTTGCTTGGTAGATCTTCCTCCATCCTTTTATTTTGAGCCTATGTGTGACTCTGCACGTGAGATGGGTTTCCTGAATACAGCACACTGTTGGGTCTTGACGCTTTATCCAATTTGCCAGTCTGTGTCTTTTAATTGGAGCATTTAGTCCATTTACATTTAAAGTTGATATTGTTATGTGTGAATTTGATCCTGTCATTATGATGTTAGCTGGTTATTTTGCTCATTAGTTGATGCGGTTTCTTCCTAGCCTTGATGGTCTTTACAATTTGGCATGGTTTTGCAGTGGCTGCTATCGGTTGTTCCTTTCCATGTTTAGTGCTTCCTTCAGGAGCTCTTTTAGGGCAGGCCTGGTGGTGACAAAATCTCTCAGCATTTGCTTGTCTGTAAAGTATTTTATTTCTCCTTCACTTATGAAGCTTAGTTTGGCTGGACGTGAAATTCTGGGTTGAAAATTCTTTTCTTTAAGAATGTTGAATATTGGCCCCCACTCTCTTCTAGCTTGTAGAGATTCTGCCAAGAGATCCGCTGTTAGTCTGATGGGCTTCCCTTTGTGAGTAACCCGACCTTTCTCTCTGGCTGCCCTTAACATTTTTTCCTTCATTTCAACTTTGGTGAATCTGACAATTATGTGTCTTGGAGTTGCTCTTCTCGAGGAGTATCTTTGTGGCGTTCTCTGTATTTCCTGAATCTGAATGTTGGCCTGCCTTGCTAGATTGGGGAAGTTCTCCTGGATAATATCCTGCAGAGTGTTTTCCAACTTGGTTCCATTCTCCGTCACTTTCAGGCACACCAATCAGATGTAGATTTGGTCTTTTCACATAGTCCCATATTTCTTGGAGGCTTTGTTCATTTCTTTTTATTCGTTTTTCTCTAAACTTCACCTCTCACTTCATTTCATTCATTTCATCTTCCATCACTGATACCCTTTCTTCCAGTTGATCACATCGGCTCCTGAGGCTTCTGCATTCTTCACGTAGTTCTCGAGCCTTGGCTGTCAGCTCCATCAGCTCCTTTAAGCATTTCTCTGTATTGGTTATTCTAGTTATACATTCATCTAACTTTTTTTCAAAGTTTTCAACTTCTTTGCCTTTGGTTTGAATTTCCTTCTGTAGCTCGTAATAGTTTGATCATCTGAAGCCTTCTTCTCTCAACTCATCAAAGTCATTCTCCATCCAGCTTTGTTCTGTTGCTGGTGAGGAGCTGCGTTCCTTTGGAGGAGGAGAGATGCTCACTTTTTAGAGTTTCCAGTTTTTCTGCTCATTTTTTTCCCCATCTTTGTGGTTTTATCTGCTTTTGGTCTTTGATGATGGTGATGTACAGATTGGTTTTTGGTGTGGATGTCCTTTCTGTTTGTTTGTTTTCCTTCTAACAGACAAGACCCTTAGCTGCAGGTCTGTTGGAATTTCCTAGAGGTCCACTCCAGACCCTGTTTGCCTGGGTGCCAGCAGCGTTGGCTGTAGAACAGCAGATTTTCGTGAACCACAAAAGCTGCTGTGTGATCGTTCCTCTGGAAGTTTTGTCTCAGAGGAGTACCTGGCCAGGGGATATCACCACCAATCCCACAGAAATACAAACTACCATCAGAGAATACTACAAACACCTCTACACAAATAAACTAGAAAATCTAGAAGAAATGGATAAATTCCTTGACACATACACCCTCCCAAGACTAAAGCAGGAAGAAGTTGAATCTCTGAATAGACCAATAACAGGAGCTGAAATTGTGGCAATAATCAATAGCTTACCAACCAAAAAGAGTCCAGGACCAGATGGATTCACAGCCGAATTCTACCAGGGTACAAGGAGGAACTGGTACCATTCCTTCTGAAACTATTCCAATCAATAGAAAAAGAGGGAATCCTCCGTAACTCATTTTATGATGCCAGCATCATCCTGATACCAAAGCCGAGCAGAGACACAACCAAAAAAGAGAATTTTAGACCAATATACCTGATGAACATTGATGCAAAAATCCTCAATAAAATACTGGCAAACCGAATCCAGCAGCACATCAAAAAGCTTATCCATCATGATCAAGTGGGCTTCATCCCTGGGATGCAAGGCTGGTTCAATATACACAAATCAATGAATGTAATCCAGCATATAAACAGAACCAAAGACAAAAACCACATGATTATCTCAATAGATGCAGAAAAGGCCTCTGAGAAAATTCAACAACCTTCATGTTAAAAACTCTCAATAAATTTGGTATTGATGGGACGTATCTCAAAATAATAAGAGCTATCTATGACAAAACCACAGCCAATATCATACTGAATGGGCAAAAGCCGGAAGCATTCCCTTTGAAAACTGGCACAAGACAGGGATGCCCTCTCTCACCACTCCTATTCAACATAGTGTTGGAAGTTCTGGCCAGGGCAATTAGGCAGCAGAAGGAAATAAAGGGTATTCAATTAGGAAAAGAGGAAGTCAAATTGTCCCTGTTTACAGATGACATGATTGTATGTCTAGAAAACCCCATTGTCTCAGCCCAAAATCTCCTTAAGCTGATAAGCAACTTCAGCAGTCTCAGGATACAAAATCAAAGTACAAAAATCACAAGCATTCTTATACACCAATAACAGACAAACAGAGAGCCAAATCATGAGTGAACTCCCATTCACCGTTGCTTCAAAGAGAATAAAATACCTAGGAATCCAACTTACAAGGGACGTGAAGGACCTCTGCAAGGAGAACTACAAACCACTTCTCAATGAAACAAAAGAGGATACAAACAAATGGAAGAACATTCCATGCTCATGGGTAGGAAGAATCAATATCGTGAAAATGGCCATACTGCCCAAGGTAATTTACAGATTCAATGCCATCCCCATCAAGCTACCAGTGACTTTCTTCACAGAATTGGAAAAAACTACTTTAAAGTTCATATGGAATCAAAAAAGAGCCCACATCGCCAAGTCAGTTCTAAGCCAAAAGAACAAAGCTGGAGGCATCACGCTACCTGACTTCAAACTATACTACAAGGCTACAGTAAGTGAAAATCACCTTTAAATTATCTGGATTCATAATTTTTTGTGAGAAGACTTTTTATTGCTTCAGTGTCTTTAATAGTTAAAGAATTTTGCAGGCTCTATTTTATGCTGGAATCAGTTTTAGTAAATTATATTTGTCTCTTTTTCTAAGATTTTGTCTGTTTTAAAATGTATTTACTTCTTTGGCCTTTATTGACTTTTTTCTTTGTTCTTTCTTTCTCTTTTTTTTTTTTTTTTTTTTTTTTTGAGATGGGGTCTCACTCTTGTTGCCCAGGCTGGAGTACAATGGCAATTTCTTGGCTCACCACAACCTCTGCCTCCCGGGTTGAAGCAGTTCTCCTGCCTCAGCCTCCTGAGTAGAGTAGTTGGGATTACAGACATGTGCCACCACACCTGGCTAATTTTGTATTTTCAGTAGAGATGGGGTTTCTCCATGTTGGTCAGGCTGGTCTTGAACTCCTGACCTCAGGTGATCCACCCACCTTAGCCTCCAAAAGTGCTGGGAATACAGGCATGAGCCACCATGCCCAGCCTATTGACTCTTTATTATGCTGCTTTGTTTTCTATTGCATAGATGTATTGCCTTATCTCTTTTTTCCCCTTCCTCCTGTTTTCTTTGATTATGTTTTTCTTCTCTTTAACTTAGAAATATAGCCCACGAATATTTGGCTTGTCTAATACATCATTTATGGCTGGATATTTCCCTCAAATGCCACTTTGGCTGTATCCCACACATTTTGTTGTATAATGTTTATGTTATCATTACTCTCTAATCCTTAAACATTTTTCATTCAAATTTGTTCTTTGACCTGTGAGGATGTAGAGTGCAGTTTTCAATTGCCAAATTACATTTTCTACATGTGCATGAGTTTCTACTTGTCCCTCACATCAGACAGACAGTAGCTTGATTGTTAAAAGTCTTGGGCTTTGAGATCTAATAGACTTGGATTCACATCATAGCTCATTCACTCACTCCTGTATTCATTAAATAGGCATTATTCTTGGTGCTGAGGATATATCACTAAACAGAAATCCATGCTCACATAGATGTTACATGCTGGTATGTGTCCCACCATTTACTAGACTCCACTACTTATTAGTTGTATCAGTTTGAAAAAGTCTCTCAGTTTCTCCCTGTAAATCAATTTTTTTATCTGTCAATGAGAATAATAATTATTCTATTCTAGGGAGCTCTTGGGAGAATGTAGTGAGATAAAGTGCTTAGTACAGTGGTTAGAACAGTGAACACTTTAGTAAATGCTTGCTATTACCATTTGGACAGCTTTCTCAGAAAGCCTTTCCTAACCCAGACCCACCCCTCCCCTTCCTGGCACCCAGACAGAGCTAGATGCTTCTTTTGTATTCCTCCAGTGCATATTGTACTGGCCTCTAGCAGAATACTCAGGCAAAATATTGTAATCACGAATTGTCCACATCTCCCACCAGATTGCCAGTTCTCTAAAGACAATATATCATATGTAATTTTTTTTACCTCAGCATCTACCACAGTGCCTGGCAAGTGTTAAATGCTAAATAAATATATTTGAAATGGCTAAAGGAAGGATTGAAGGATTGATATAGATTTCAGAAAAGGAAAGTAAGTGTATGTTGCTGAGATATTTATTGATTCGTTTAGTCAAAAAATGTTTATTAGGCACTGATTACCTGTCAGCCACTTTTCAAGGTACTGTATAGGTTCAAACAAAACAGACAAAATTTTGTTATGGTACTTAAATCTTAGAAAGGAGAAATATGCATTAGATATGGTTGAGTGATTGCAGAAAAATAAAACAGATTAAAGAAGTAAATAGTATTGTGGGAAGGCTGCTATTTGATATGTGATGGCCAAAGAAAGTCTCTCTGATAAGGTGTCATCTTAGTAGAGACCTGAAAGAAGTGAGAGGGCAAATCAGAGAGACTTGCGGATGAAATATTCCAAGTTGAAGAAACAGTAAGTGCTGAAGTTCTTTAATCATATTCAAGGACAGCAAGGAGGCCAGTATGGCTGCACCAGAAGCACTGAGAGGGAGGGCGGTAAGAGATGAAGTCAGAGTGGTGGGCAGAGAGAGTGAGGATGCAGAGAGTGCAAGGCCTTGCAGACCATGGCTTTGCCTCTAAATGAGAAGAGATTCCATTGAAGGGTTCTGAATGGGGAAGTTCCTGTAATATACTCTGAGTTACATTTTACAAGAATCACTCTGGCTGCTACATGGAGGTCCGACTAGGGGTACAGGGGTAGTGGCAGAGACCACTTAGGACAGTATTGTAACATTCCAGGCTACAGTAGTCGTTTGGATCAGAGAGATAGCAGGTGGAAATTATGATTCTGGATATTTTTCAAGCAGAGAGCTGATAGATTTTGTTCAACTGTGTGTGGGTTGTTAAAGAAAGAGATGAATCAAGGATAGCCCCAAAGTTTTTGGCTGAACTACTAAACAAATTGAATTAGCATTTGGTTAGAGGTAGAAGACTGGTGAAATAGCAAGTTTGTGTATGTATTGGGAAGGGGGTGGTTAGCAGTGGGTGTATCAGGAGGCCCATTTTAGAGCTGTTAAATGTGAATGTCTATTACACCTCCAGGTGGAAATGTTGAACAAGTATATGGATATATAGATCAGAACGTCAGTGTTGAGATCAGAATCTCTTATGCTATCAACCTGTACATAACTTTTTTTTTTACCCCCATCTTTTTAAAGTATAAATCAATATGGACCAGATGATTCTTGAGAATCTTCTCTGAAGAGGAGTTATGTTTTTCAGATAGATTTTTAGCTGGCATTTTTTTAAGTAGGGCAATAATCATTTTACTATAACAACTGACATCATAATTGAATAATGAGCTTAGGCATATGCTTTGCAAAAACCTACATACCTTAAATAGAATTGAATTCAAATGAGTATCTTTTCGAAAGAACTACTGAATTCACAAATGTATGTAAAATGTTCTTAATTAAGCTTAATGTAAGTATTAATATAAAAAGAAAAACACTATTATGAATAAAACCCTGGATACCAGAGTGGACAATTGAGTCTGACATATTCCCGGAGAAATATTTAAAGTAAGCTAACACAAGAAAATCTTGCCTTTAGAATTTTTTAGTTACACTTTTAATAAAGATTCAAATAAAATGTTAAGAAACTTTCTAAATGGTTCTGACAGTAATGGTCCAGTCAGGAAAATAAAGTTTCTAGCCTCTGTCTTGGGGCTTTCAGAATAAACTAGATAACCTTAGAATTAAATGTGGATTTATGTTTTTCTGAACAGTACCCCCTTTTATTGACTACATGTGTTTCCCCAAGAATTTGTTTTAGAGTAGATGTTTCAAATAAATGGTCCAATTCTTAACCCATTCACATTGTTTCATTTTGCAGATAACCACTTGCCTAGCATAAAAATCTTTACCTTGTTCTCAGAAATTGATTCTTGACTCTACACAGCAAATCCTTCATCTTTATTGTTGTGACCCATTATAAATACCTTCCACTATGATGGGCATATATTTTCCTATTCTCCTCTAGCACTTACCCTCTTTTTTTCCCCCAGGATTCCAGGTCTTGGCAACCTTTGAAATTCCAATTCCATTTGAGAGAGCTTTGATGAGGCCATATGCTGATTTCACCACCAGCAACTTCACAACCCAGTACTGGAATGCCATCAGCCAGCAGGCCCCTGTCATCACCTGTGACTTCTATCTGTGGCTCACTGGAAGGAAACCCAGGTGAGAAGCTGAGTCAATGGCTTTGAGAATGTCACTGCATATGAGAGATTGAGGCCCCAAAGTCTTCTGTGCTTCCTTCAGCCAAGGATTAAAGGAAACAACTTAATCTGGCCCATATATACAGATTGAACACACCTACTCGAAAATCCAAAATCTGAAATTCTCCAAAATCCAAAATGTTTTGAGTGCTGACATGATGCCACAAGTGGAAAATTCCACACATCTTACCTCATGTGATGGGTCACAGTAAAACATATTCAAAACTTTGTTTCATGCATAAAATTATTTAAAATATTGTATAAGATTACCTTCAGGTTATGTGTATGTGGCTAAGTGTGTATGAAACATGAGTGAATTTTGTGTTTAGACATGGGTCCCATTCCCAAGATATCTCATTACATAGAAGAAAATATTCCAAAATCTGAAAACAGTTGAAACCCAACACACTTCTGACCCAAGCATTTCAGATAAAGGATACTCAACCTGTATAAGTTTTGAACAAACAAAGCAGTCATAGTGAGAAGCCACAGAAGCTTCCTACATGAAAAATGCTCCAGCATAATAAAGGAAGGTAAATGTTAAAGCGCCTGCTTGATGAATTCAGCAAGTGATCATTCACGCAAAAAGAAAAGCAACTGAGACGCTGTCACTAGGGTTTTTCAAATAGGTAGATAATCTTAAATATCCAGTAATGATGACAACCTCACTTACTGGGAGCTTACTCATGGGGCTAAGGAGGATGCATGATGATCCCATTTTTATTGTCACAGCTACTGATGAAGATACCCTCATCAACCCATTTTACAAATGGAGAAATAGAAGCTAAGGGAAGAATCTGAAGTAGTCTCAAAGGCAGTGACAGGAAGGATGTGGAGAAAGCTGAGTGTCAAAGTCAGTATTCAGGACCGGATTTACTGCTACTTAGAGATGAATGAAGAAATCAGAGGGAACGCAGTGTGCTGATGCTAAAGCAGCTGTCACCACCCAGCTGTGTGACATAGGACATATTCTTTCTCTGTCTCACTTGAATAATATGATATGTCAGAGGAGACATGATTGTAATTGCCTAAAGCAATTCTTGTGATCAAGACTCAGAAGCATGAACAGTATTGCCCTCTGTGTTAGCCCCTTTATAAGGGAGGAAGTCATCTTCAGCATGTTGAATTGCCATCTTTCTTAGCAGTGCAAATGACTAAAACTTAGCCAATGTAGAGTTTATCCAAATTTGGAACTCATAACTCAGTTCTTGGGCAAAGTGAAAAGAAAACATTGTGATTACGGGGAAAATATTTGTATGGGACTTATTAAATAAAGATAGGAAAAGGAGAAAACCCAAATATTATAGGCAGAAATGCTAAAGGTTTTAAAATATGTCAGGATTGGAAGAAGGCATGGATAAAGAACAAAGTTCAGTTAGGAAAGAGAAACACAGAAGGAAGAGACACAATAAAAGTCATTATGTATTTTGTGAGAAGTCAGACAGTAAGATTTGTGGGAAATGGGTTGGTTTGTTGTATGGTGTGTATTTTAGCAATAATCTTTATGGCAGAGAAAGCTAAAATCCTTTAGCTTGTGTGAATGATCACTTGCTGAATTCCTCAAGGTAGGCATGATGAAGGAGGGTTTAGAGGAGACACAGACACAATGAACTGACCTAGATAGAAAGCCTTAGTATACTCAGCTAGGAATAGTGATTCTGAGGACACACTTTGACATGATTATGTCATTACATGTATGGTAGTGATGGGGATGATAGAAGGAAGAACTGTTGGCATATTTTCACCCCCCAAAAAATCAGTTAAATATTGGGACACTAACCATCCAGGTCTAGAAAAGTCACATGCCATAGCCATGGTATTGCACATCATTCATCTTGCATTCTTTGAGAACAGGAAGATCAGTAAATAGTTCAGAAGTGGGAAGCTTTGTCCAGGCCTGTGTGTGAACCCAATGTTGTGTTTAGAAATAGAACAAGTAAGTTCATTGCTATAGCATAACACAAAATTTGTTTAAGTGGTGGTCAGCAAATCCTTGAACGCTGCTTAATGTGACGAGGTTGGTAAAATCCTTTGTGCAACACTCTTACTCCCTGAATATTTTGCAGTGCCAGGGCCTGTGCATGCCAGACAAGGCCAAGATGGCTCAAAGAGCAACCAGCCACCTCAGCAACCTGCCACCTCCTGCTGGCAGGATTTGTTTTTGCAACCTGTGAAGAGTCAAGGAGGCACAAAGGCATAAGTCTACTCACTTATATCTGTTTGTCTGGAACATAACCCATGTTTGTTTTTACAACAAATAAAATTGATCTTGAATAAAAACTGAGTGGTCATTGTCATTAATCTTTGAATCCAGATTAACCTTTTGGTCATGCCTAGTCTAAGAGAAAAGAGATATTCTTATCAATAAATACAGAGCCAAGCTATATCAGTGAAGATCTCAAGTGCATAGACAGTAGTATAGGGAAGAGTCAGAGGCCAAAAAGACAAGGATGGCAGACATTGAACAGAGGAGAGTGTGGTGTTTGCCTTTGCATCAACTGAGATTGTGGAATAACACCTGAGGCTTGGGGAGAGCACCTACGAGATACCAATAAAGCATTGTAAGAACATCTATGAAGTGAGAAAATTTGAATTACTGTTGTTCTTGTGGTTATGATTGTATTTATGGTTGTTACTTCATTCGTATTAATCATCTATGTGCCCGAGTGTAATCATGAAGTTAGATTTTTCCCAGATTTTTTTATTAGACTCAAGAATTCCCATAGACAAAGGCAATATCACTATCCTATTTATACATTTCTTCTCTCAGTTCTGCAGAGCCAAAATGTAGAGTCCAATCTTTTAGATAGGTTATGCAATAAAGGCTGACTTGGATTATCTAACTGGTACATGAGGCCCAGTGTGGTAGTTTACTCCAGAGGAAATTGGCACCTGTATATAATTGTAGTTAAGTTGATCCCTTGATATCAGGAAAGTTTCTGCTATGCAGTCCTTTTTGATGATTTCTTAATATATATCCTCCTTTTAGACAGTACTAGTGGCCATAGATGTACATGGCAGCAGAATATTACAGATGGTAAACCTTGAATCTGCATTTTAGTAGCAAGAGCATCTGGAGTCTTGTGCTTCCCTTGTAGACATCTTCTTAACATCTACATCCTATCTTTTGTCTACTGTTGTTACTACTACTAGTTCCATAGACATTCTAACTTTCATTTGGATATACATTTTTGTTATTTGTAAGCTCCCCCTTCTTTTTCATTTTTTCACACCCTTTCAGACTGTTCTAAAATCAGAAAGGAAATTCTCCTCCATGAGCATGTGTATGTTTTTGGCTCTTGGAACTTGAGATGGTGCAAGTAAGTACAAGCACATTTTCCAGATAAGTCATGTGAAGTGATTTACATTTCATAATATGATCATTTCTGATTGATCTGATCTATTAAGACCACCAATAGAGATGGCTGTAAAGAATTAAGAACATCAAACAATGTCAAGTTGTTCATTGCATGTATTTCAGAACATTACCGAGATAAAGCCAGGTGGAGTCATTAATTTCACCAGCTAATTATTTCCTTGCTGCAGTACCAAAGATTGTCATTTTTGAACTAAAGCCTCTGGTTTTTCTAACTCATCTTTCATTGTTCATATTGGCAAGTGAATAATTAGTGAATATATATGTTTAGGTTATGAGGAATTTAAAACACAACCTAAGAGTTGTAATGTTGATTGCTTTTAAATGTTGTAATTGTTTTGAGAGTGTCTGCTAATGATTCCTTAATTACATACTTGCTTTTCTTAGAAAGTCAACTCATTTCATTGTGATTAATTTTCTCTTAAATATTTAACTTCATATTTTAATAAATCACAATGCCTGGGATTCCATTAGATATTTGAAAAGATCAAGTTTAATTTTTTTTACCCAGGTAACATACACAATGGCTCAAGATTTGTGTTCTTTGATCTCACAATTTAAAAAAATATGCATTAAGCACCATGGAAATCCCAAGAACTTCAGCAAGAAAGAGTCTTTGTTCCATAGTTTCTTTGCTTGATAAATATGTGGACTAAAATAAATGCAATATCTTAATTCAGTTTTTGCTTCATGAGACTGGTTGAGTGAACATAGGCCTAGTGCTTTGAAAATTGGCCTATTGTAGAAGATTGATAATCTAATAGCCTAAAGAGAATCCATTTCTTATAAGAACATATATATTTTGGAAAATATGGTATTTCTCAGAAAACTGCTGAAATGAATTATGTATCTTTTCTATCTTTATCTTTAATTCTATTACTTTCAAAGATCTAAAGCTTTCACTTGAAAATTAGTCTTTTGGAAAAAAATCGAAACTAGTGTTAAATTATATTTCATTGAGGTAATGAATATGAAGATTCATTTGCTGTAATCTCCTTGTGATCTTTTAAAGTAGTTTCTTGTGCTTTTAAAAATAACACTATAATGGTCTATATGTGTATCAGTTTTTACAATAATTTGTCTAAACTTTAGCTTATACAGTGTGCATGAAGAACCAAGTGCAGTCTGAATTAGCACAATGCAAATAGAAAACCGAACTTTTATTTTCCTCACAAAATTATATCTAATATAAACCTTATGTAAAATAGAGAATTTTTAAGTGCTTGTAAAATAATAACAAAATCATACATAATGTCAGTGGAGGAGAAAAGTTAAGGATTTTATATCACACTAAAATGCATTTCTAAATTGACTTAGTATTGTTATAAAACATATTCTTGAATATTGTATCAGAATTTATCACCACTATTGAAGTCAAAATAAAGATGGATCTCTAAATTATACAATTTATTTGGGAATCACAGAATTGTAGTTCTGAACAAAACTGAAAACCACGGTGGTCTTCTATATGTGTGAAGGACAAAGAGAAGATTGGGGGTTTACTAGCAAGGGAAATGCTATATATTGTTTTGAAAGAACGCACATGGACACTAGAGAAGATTTTGGGAGCTGATCAAGCAAGCCTAATGGGAGGCAAATCTTTTGAGACTTCCCAGGAGCCCAACTATAAAATCCCTTAGTCAATTTTAAGTGAAAAAGACTTAAATTTGAATTTGATTCTGTGGAAGTTTGTCATTTGTTTGGATGCAAAAAGCCTAAAAATATTTAATTAAAGTAGAATTACATATCCTTGAGAGATAATGGTCACTTATTTAACCAGAGTAATAATGGAAAGACTTCAAAAACAAATTCAAAAGTTACCTGGTCAAGAGAAAAAAATACTTAGACCTGTGTTAGAGATGACTTAGTTTTTTCAGGAGGTCAAAACCCGAATAAAGACAGCCCAAACCACAAGAAGCTATCTTAAAACATAAAATATCTGCTTGTTAGGTGGATTACTTAGAGAGAGAGAAAAAAAAAACCTTTTGTAATATGACCATTTCTCTTGGTATATGCCCTTTTGAGTAAACTGGAAATTAAACCCCATGAAAAACTACTTTAATTCAACTAGACGCTGGAAGAGTGTATGTCTAAAGTTATATGTAAACCATATTATAGAATAATAATACACACACACACACACACACACACACACACAAACAAGTAGTACCTCCACCAGGTGGAATGGATGGCTTTTTAGAAAAAGAAAGAGCATGTGAAATTTCCTGGTTACATAGAACAATCTGGATACATCAGGAAAAGCCAAGAGTACAGAATTAATCTATACCAGAAAAACATTGTTTTTCCAGTTTTTTTCTTGAGACAAACGTTCTCGGTGTCAGGTTATAATACCAGAGTGCGAAGTGGGGAAAAATGCAATAGGAACTGACAAAAAAAAAAAAAATGAGAGAGAGAGTCACCACTTTAGTTAATCAAAAAGATGTACTGTTTTAAGGAGAGAAGTAACAAGAGCAGAAGGCATTGATGTATTAACTGCAAATTACACGTATTGAGATGCATAAAAAGCCAAACCCTTGGGATAAAAATCTGAAAAGCTTTAAGAGGAAAAGTCTACCTCCTGAAATGAAGTGATCATTTTTTTTATTGCTGCTTCTAAAAAAAGGATACATGTACAGGATGTGCAGGTTTGTTGCATAGGTATATGTGTGCCATAGTGGTTTGCTGCACCTATTGACCCATCCTCTAAGTTCCCTCCCCTCATCCCTATCCTCCAATAGACCGTGGTGTATGTTGTTCCCCTCTCTGTGTCCATGTGTTCTCAATGTTCAACTCCCACTGAATGAGAACATGCAGTGTCTGGTTTTCTGTTCTTGTGTTAGTTTGCCGAGGATGATGGCTTCCAGTTTCATCCATGTCCCTGCAAAGGACATGCTCTCATTCATTTTTCATGGCTGCATAGTATTCCATGGTGTATATGTGACATATTTTCTTTATCCAGTCTGTCATTGATGGGCATTTGGGTTGGTTCCAGTCTTTGCTATTGTAAATTGTGCTGCAATAAGTAGAATGATTTATATTCCTTTGGGTATATACCCAGTAATGGGATTGCAGGGTCAAATGGTATTTCTGGTTTTAGATACTTGGGGAATCACCATGCTGTCTTCCACAATGATTAAACTAATGTATATCCTCACCAACAGTGTAAAAGCATTCCTATTTCTCCACAGCTTCACCAGCATCTATTGTATCCTGACTCTTTTAAATAATCACCATTCTGACTGGCATGAGATGGTATCTCATTGTGGTTTTGATTTGCATTTCTCTGATGATGAGTGATGTTGAGCTTTCTTTCATATGTTTGTTGGCCAACTTCTTTTGAGAAGTGTCTGTTCATATCCTTTGCCCACTTTTTAATGATATTATTGCTCATATTAACTTTGAAATGACTGAAAATTCAAAATAAAGACAAGAAAGATAAAATTATATTTTTTAAGTTACAGGTATGAAGTATTTTTGAAAGGAAAGAAACCTCTAGATTATATATACATGTATGTGTATATATTTATATGTATATGTGTGTATATATAATATATATATTGCTTTCAACAAAAAAATTATTAGAGTCAAAATAGTATCATCTCCAGATGTTTTTATTTAGCTTGGTATCTAAAATCATTTAGGTGACCCATTCCCATGTTTGGAAAATTTTTAAAATTTGTTGTATATATCTGTGGTATTCAGTATAGTAGCCACTAGCTACTTAACTTTTAATCAGTTATAATTAAATGAAATTTAAAATTCAGTTCTTCCGTCATACTAGCTACATTTCAAGTGCTCAATAGACACACTTGGTGAGTGGCTACTTTATTGGACAGGGCAAGTATAGAATATTTCCATTATCACAGAATATTTAACCAGACAGCATTGATCTAAATGGTTAATTTTTTTTTTTAACTGGAGTGCATTGGTACATTCTCAGCTCACTGCAACCTCTGCCTCCCAGGTTCAAGCAATTTTCTGCCTCAGCTTCCCAAGTAGCTGGGATTATAGGTGCCCACCACCACACTCGGCTAATTTTTTTATTTTTAGTAGAGACAGTGTTTCACCATCTTGGCCGGGCTGGTCTTGAACTCCTGACCTCATGATCCACCAGCCTTGGCCTCACAAAGTGCTGGGATTACAGGCATGAGACATTGCACCAGGCCAAGTATCTTGTAGAGAAAGTTTATATTATGATTCAGATTTCCATTTCTTCACATTTTTTCTGAAAAGCTAAGGTTTTGTTATTGAACTACTATTAGAAGTTGAATGTGATCCTCTTCCAATGTCTGGCATTGCCTTCCTGTGGAATTAACACTCTGTGTGATTTAGAGTACACGTCCTGACTTTCTCAATGCTCATAAATACCTTATCTGTAGGAAACTTTCTTTAAGGGAAAAGCAGCTTTAGCCTGTCTCCAGTATATGGCCCTGACTTGCTTGTACATGTAATCTATTATGAAGGAAAAAGAGCCATCCTCACAAATCTACAAGATTAAAACTTCTAGCACAAACACAGCTTGAATCAGTGCTTCTGTAGCTTCTTTCAGCAAAGGGACCATAGCCAGTACTGTGGCTACAACATATGCCTTGCCATCAGATACAAGAGTTAGGCTTCATATCCACGTCCTGTGCAATAAAAAGCTTTAAATCTGAGTGGAACATCCGTAGAACTAGCTCACAGACAACGCAGAAGTAGGAACACTTCGGTCTGTGTTCAAGTAAAATGAAGGTTGAGATTTCTTTATGCAGCAGAAGAAGCAGGATTCCGTATCTGTCTTTGGAGTCAGGTTGGTCTTTGAAAGAAAACCAATTTGCTTTTAAGAGGTTCTAATCTAGCAGGATACCAGATGATGGCAAGCGTGTTTAAACCAAGTATAGACTAAGGGATTGGTACATTGATAAACTACCTTCTTTTTCAGCAGAGGGTAATTAGGGTGCCAGCAATGCTGTTATTACTACTAAGGTCACCAAGGACCTAGATCAAGAAGTTCCATCCAGCAACACCTTATTACAGTGTACAGAGGTCAACAGTCAGAGGTAAAAGAAAAAGAATAATCTTTTATCAGACTTTTACATTACATTGATAATTTTTAATACAGAATATTTTTCATTCTTTTATTTTGATTCACTGGTATTTATTTCTGATTCTGACTCTGCCTACTGTTATTCACCCTACTTGTTAATGCTAATCTATTCTTTTTATTTGTAAAAGCATAACTTTTCTCAGGCATAGTTCTGTGTGTATATGTGTATTTAACCTATTCTAGAAACATTAATTTAAAGTAGAAGAGATTGAGATTGCAGATTATAATAGCATGTAAAGAGTTTTATACAGTTAATACCTGAGAGTCTGCACAGTGGGGAACTCTGAAGTAATATGCAAGGTGTCAAGAACAAGCAGGTCAGGACTGTGGCACTCAAAGGGCAGGTAACCAGCTTTTCAGTAACATTTTTAAGTAGCAGTTTCAGAGATCCTTAGAGAATGCCAGGCAGTAAAGGACACATCTCAAAATCCATACAGCAGATTTCTGGTTTCCAAGTTTATGGCATATAGTACTTAATAAAGTATTTGAAACTCTACAATTGCTATGGAAGAGACATTCTGGAGAGTTACGTATTATCCAAAAATAAATTTTTCAGAAGCAAGAAATTTTAAAATAAGAAACCAACCAAAAAAGAATGGCCAACCATTTAAACCTTTTTTTCCATTAATAAGGAGCTACATAGTCTGCTGGTGAAGAACTTGATAGAAATTGACTGTTTTCACTTAGTGGGCTGATCCCCTTGTATCTGTGTCAGATAAAATCATAGCACTTATTATTTGTTACCGGATACCATGAAGATACTGCCATCCACTAAATAGTAGTAGAGGAAGACAACATAATTTTCTGCAACTAGTCCCGTTTTGCCTTCATAAGCTGCCTTTAACCATCCTGGTTCCACTGATGGGTCCACACTGGAAAATATCGCTCTTTGTGGGAAGGAAAGCTCACGCTGTGCTCTCCTTTATAGGAGTACATGGCTTTGGCTTGGTGCCCAGAAGAAACTGGCTTAGGTGAACCAACATTTTCAAACAGTTGAGCTTTTGCTGCCACTACTGAGCCAGGACGCTGATAGCCATTGCTTGAGGTGGTGTCTAGTCTTCACCTCCTGCACATTTTTGGAGGCAGGTCTGGGTTTGAAGCTTTGGGTGTCTCCTTGGAACCTACAGAAGTTAAGCTTTGAATAGATCCACTGTAGCTAATGTTTCCTTCAGCTGCAGAAATGGATCTGAGAGAAGAAGCAGAAGCTCTTTTCAGTCCTGAAAGCCCATAAGGCCCTTTCTTGACTAGGTCTATGGGTGGGGAAACATCCCCTGGGCTAGTGACCGAAGCAACACTCTGGCAATCTGATTCTGCATCTGTCTTGATTGCATCTTCTCTAGAACTTGATTCAGGATTAGTTGTCCAGAGACCAAGGCTTTTCTGTCCATTGGAAGATTGGGTTGCAATCCAAGGAATCCCTCCAGATTTCTCCCTGGGCTGGCAGAAAGCTGACTTTGTAGTGCTATTTTGTTGTGAGGAAAGAGAAGAGAGTGACTTGATGCTCCCCATGGGGGTGCTGTCTGTGCTGCTGCTATAGGAATCACTATCAAGTTCAGCCAGGCATGGAGTACACATCCCTCTGGGCTTCCTAGAGCCTGTAGAGAGGCAGATTGCTCATGTCCTTTGGGATCCAGATCGAGACTGAGGTTGTCCTTTGGGATCCAGATCGAGACTGAGGCTGAGGAAGAGGAATGCTTGGGTCTGGAGCAGTATGAAAAACCGTTTCACTGTGCTCTATCAGAATTTCTACACAATATTCTGAAATTTAATATTCACCATAGCAGCCACAGTTTATTCTTGTGCTCTCATTAGAGTTGGGCCAAATATGACACCAAGATTTTAGACAGTCATGAGATTTTGTTGGCTGTGCAGTGATACTTTGACCAGATGTTTTATTAAGATGTCCAGCATCTCTCTGTTTTTCTCTGGCAATGTGCACACCAATGCATGTACAGCCTCCACCCTGTAGTTTTGGTCATCAGATTTAACAGCAATGATACAAATCTTTGTGTAACTTGTAAGTTATCAGTGGTGCTGCAAAGCACCTGAGGTAGTTTTTCAGCCCACTCATTATTGTCTTATTGTCCCACAGTTCAATATCAATATCAGGAGGGGATTTAGGAGAAAATATGATATTCACGAGTTTTTGAACTTTGGAGTTCACTCCTCCTATTCAGTAGAGGCCTTAAATGGTGATACCACTGGTTTCCACAGCTTGAATGCAGTTTCTCACAAAATTGAACCCTGCTTCGTTCAAATACATTTCTTCTTTCTTGCTTATAATGTCAGGCAGAGTATAAATCGGTTCCTTCCCATCCGTGGCTTCAAGCCAGAGTTTCCTATTAGCTTCTGAGAAGGCCTGTAATGTGATGATCCCATGGCTTTCAACTACTTGTATGTCGAAGCAGAATTGTTTGTCAATTGAATCTGTCTTTCGTCGGATACAAGATTTTGAACATTTCCGGTGAGCTAGTAACAAGGCTGTTTAATCCATGTAAAACCAAGTGGTCATTTCTCCTGGACATGCAGATAGCCTTGCAGATTTCACCCTTTGCGTCAACCCCTCTACCTCTTGTCAAGTACTTTCAAAATTATTCCTTGTATTCTGCAAGTCGAACTGCAGCTGTTGCTTATTCGGTGCAAATTCCTGGGCAAGTTCATATCCCTCGGGGTAAAAAAGTAAATAAATCCTGAGGAAATGACAAAAGCAGTTCAACAAATTCAAACTTCTGTTTTTCTTGAACCTCTTGAATTTTAAAGACATATTCTTTTTTCTTTTATTTTTATTTATTTGTTTATTTATTTATTTTGAGACAGAGTTTTGCTCTTGTTGCCCAGGCTGGAGTGCAATGGTGCAGTCTCGGCTCACTGCAACCTCTGCCTCCTGGATCCAAGCGATTCTCCTGCCTCAGCCTCCCGAGTAGCTGGCTTTACAGGCATGTGCCACCAGGCCCAGTAATTTTGTATTTTTAGTAGAGACGGGATTTCTCCATGTTGGTCAGGCTGGTCTCCAACTCCTGACCTCAGGTGATCCACCCGCCTCAGCCTCCCGAAGTGCTGGGATTACAGGCGTGAGCCATTTAAAGACATTCTGATGATGCTTCATAGAAGTTCTGATGTGCTCAATCAATTTGTGTATCTGCCTCTTGCAAATGAGACTCCTTTTTCTTTGCAGATAAATTTAAATGCTTTTCAAGGATAGAGAAATATTTTTCACTCTCTTTGTCAAACTTCTTTTCACCTTTTGCTGCACCTATCTGTTCTTTTTGAAGTTTCTCAAGTGGTGTAATTAATACATCATTAGCGTTTTGGGTCAGTCTTCGCTTTTCTTCTACTGCAATGAGTAGTCTTGCAAATTATTTTAGTGACTGACCAATACTAATTTCATCATCTGTTTCAACATCACCAATACATTCAAATTGGAAATCTTGTAATGACTGGGAAAATTTCTGCACTGCCATAGACAGATCTCCAACCTGGGTAGAGGTGTGTTACTGAAGGAACTCAGGGTTCCTTTGGAAAGGATGAAAGGGCAAGGGAACTGGGCAGGCAATCAACATTACCTGTCCTCAACGCCCCAGTGAGCAGAGAGCCGTCCTTAATGAGCTCCTTGATGAACTTGTTGGTTCGCTCCAGCTCAATCTGGTGACACTGCAAGCGCTCCCTAAAATCCGGGCTGTCCAAGTAGTAATCACTGAACTCCAGAGTGGGCAGCCCCATGGCACAGGCGCTGCCAGCGGCGGCCGCTGGCACGTCCGGGCCGGTGGTCAGGGCGGGGGCAGCTGGAGGCCGCGGCGGGCGCTGGGGCAAGCCAGGGGACTCGCTGGCAAGCCAGGGGACTGATCGCTGGAAGGAAATGGGACCGCGCGCAGCGCAGCCTGAGCCGGGCTCAGTCTTCCTCCCCCTGGGCGAGGCGAGCACAGGCCTGGCAGAGGGCCTAGGCGCAGGTCTGCTCAGGTTGTTGTCAACGGGAGGCATCCTCGTTGGGAGCGCTGGGACTGCGAGCAACACTGTTGATTATTAAAGAAGCACACAATAGAAGTGCTAATTTTATTTTACGAGTTCCTTGATAATTTTTAGACTCTTTTGTAGGAAAAAAAAAAGTAGTGTGTTTATGCTTGCCCCAGGCTTCCCTGTATAAAAGCTGCTTTTTCTCAACTTTCAAAAATGAGTTTCTGATTGACATTAATGATTCTGTTAAATCTCTATATAAGGCAAAGGCAATTGGGAACATTTGGAAAGGCATTTGGAAACTTCCAAAATTATAAATATTTGCACTTAAACTTCCAAAGCCAGTTGTGTTCATTAGTTTTTTTTTAAAATTTTTCCTAAGAAATTATCTCACAAAAAGCAAGAGGCCTCTAGTGTAACTAGTTTTCAGTTTTCCTGTTACTGGAGTCAGATCAGCTGAAGCATGTTCAACCTCTCCCCTGTGGGCCAGTTACAGGGGAAGGAAGGAAGGAAGGAAGGGGGAAAGGGAGGAAGGGAGGAAGAGAGGGAGGGAGGGAAGGAAATGTAGTCCTGGGGATACACTAACAGTTCCAGAAACAGAAGCAATTTATTTTCTCAATTTCTTTCTTACCTTCTTTTACACTATCATTCACTAATTCAATCACCAGCATGGTTTTACATGTCCAGCTTCTTTCCTGTTCTTAAAAATCTCTTCCAATCGCACCGTCTTTTTCTTAAAAGCTTCAAATTTCCCGTAGTTATTTTATTCAAGAGCCATGAGGTTCAACATGATTTTGTCATACACTCTGGATCACAGAATAGAATCAGCAACCTTGGCATCGCCCAACACACACACACACACAAACACATACACATACACACACACGACACAGCTTTCTGACCAGCATCTTTTGGAAATGGAGTACTGCTGTGGAAGTAGAAAGGGAATTTTCCTATCATTAGGGACCTACAATGTGGTAGGCACTAAGACAAACATTTGACTTCATTACTCTAATCCTCAGAAATCTCTGTAGTGTGCCTATTCCTATATCACAGATGAGATATTAGTTCATGAAAGCTGTCCTCTATCCAAGGTTATGTAATTTGTGCCCAGTTATACAGCAAAATTGGAATGCAGGTCTCTAATCTCTAAAGCCCATACTTTCCCTATTGTAGTTTATTGCCTCTCCTAGGAAATTTCTTCCTCCATGACAATATCATGAAGAAGGGGAAACTATTGCTTGTCACTTCTGAGTTAGTATCAACACTTCTTCCATCCTCTAGCACGAATAATGTAGCGACACCACCAATTCTGTTGCAGAGCAGAAATAATCTTAAGGTTGTTCAACTTCCTAGCCACCCTAGTTCCTTTCCTGCCCAGCTGCAAGAAAGAATTATTAAAGAACTCTGTGAAATTGACCTTTGGTGTGGAAAGAAAACATGACAAGATGGTGAATCAAACATTGTGTTGCATTTAGCATTTATTATAGATTACTATGCAAAATGAACTAAAATTTTGTTAAATGCAAAATTGTCTATAAGAACAGCATAATATGTGCTTAATCCTACTTCTCTGCGATCACTTGATAAGTTAGTCAAATGATTGGCATTTTAGACATGATGGTGCAGAGAGGTAAGTAATTTGCCCCAGGCACATAGCAAATAAATGGCAGAATCAGAATTCAAATCCAGTCTTTCATGGCTCCAAAGGGCCTGAGTTCTTTCCAATACACTAATGGTTCTCAAATTCAGAGTGTATCAGAATTACTAGAGAGTGTGTTCAAAGTAAAGCTAGATGCCCAAGCTTTGACACTGCTGAATGAGAATTTCCAGGGTCAGGACATATGTTTGTTTGTTTGTTTGAGCAACTTCCTAGGCAACCCTGCTATATGCCGAAGTTTGACGGCCATACCACTATACCATGCTGCCTTATGGAGTTATAGAAATGATCCTTGCTAAAGCATTAAAAACGTGTCGACTAATCTTTACATCTTATGGGAGTTACTGGTGAACTAGCAAAAATTTTAACATTTTGTGAATTTCTGTTAATCTGTACATTGGGTATAATGGTTTTTGCTTAAATTAGAATGTACTTATTTGTGTTTAATTGTTCTAAACTTGGAGCTAATTTGTAGAATTCATTTATTTGCTTTTACTCAGCACTCTACAAATTCTCTGTAAAATGTTACAGTGTCTCTTTCACCTTGGGACACCAAATATTCCACAGAGATTGCCCCTTAGTTTAAGGGACATTACTCTTTTCTTTTACATATATATATATGTATATGTGTAAGCAGGTCTTGGTGGGTTAATGGGACTAAATAAGACAGTTATTTTTGAAGAGCAAGACTTAGTAAAATAATTAAAGATCAAAGATTCTCATGACTAGAAAAGATTTGATTACCTTCAATGAGCCCAATGAAGTAGAGGCCAAATCTCCTGTGGATACTACCAAAATGAGGTCATGTGGCTAACTCGTTGATTGTTAAGAGACCACATTAAAGGCTTCTGAATTGTTTCAAAAGCGTTATATAAATTTAATGCCCCTACCCCAATTCCTGCTTCTAATAAAAATACAGTGTTAGTGTCTGACTACAGAAGTCATACATGAGGAGTTTATATTTTTATTTTTTACTTTATTTATTAATTTTTTTGAGATGAAGTCTCACTCTGTTGCCCAAGCTGGAGTGCAGTGGCACAATCATGGCTCAGTGCAACCTCCACCTCCCACACTCTCATTTTTATAGAGTTTTCCTGACTGTTCTCATTGCATATACTTCTTGATTAAATTTAAGATAATCTTGCCAGGTTTTTAAAAATCTTGGGAGTTTGGTTGGAATTACTTTATAGATATAGAATACTTTAGAAACATTTAGCATATTTAAAATATTGACTCTTCCTATCCAAGAACAATATGTTTTCCCATTTATTCAATTTTTGCTTTCTGTTATTATATTAATTTATGATTAATTTGATATAAATGTTCACATTTGAACATTTCTTGCATTGTATTCTCTAATTTTTGTTTATATACAGGCAAGCTAATGTTTCTTTCTTTTTTTTTTTTTTTTTTTTTTTTGAGATGGAGTCTTGCTCTGTTGCCCAGGCCGGAGTGCAGTGGCGCGATCTCGGCTCACTGCAAGCTCCGCCTCCCGGTTTCACGCCATTTTCCTGCCTCACCCTCCCGAGTAGGTGGGACTACAGGCACCCGCCACCGACCGTGCCTGACTAAATTTTTTGTATTTTTAGTAGAGACGAGGTTTCACCCTGTTAGCCAGAATGATCTCGATCTCCTGACCTCGTGATCCGCCTGCCTCAGCCTCCCAAAGTGCTGGGATTAAGGCTTGAGCCACTGTGCCTGGCCTTTTTATATAATTTTTATCAGTGGACACCTTACTGAACTATAGTACACTTTAGCTTTTTAAAAAAGCTGCTTCTGTTTTCCAGGTATGCAATTATATAATCCTATAGTAATTTTTGTGACTGTCTTTTTAATATCTATATTTCTTCATTAATTTTAGTTTTCTTTCTAATTACTTACAAGGCTAGGACCTCAGAACAATGTTAAGTAGTAGTTGTGACTGCAGGCATTATTTCTAGCCCTGGCTTTACGAGCAGTATTCCTAGCTTTTCACCATTAAGAATGACATTGGCTAGCAAATTAAATACATATTGTTTAATCATTTTATTCCTATTCTAGTGAATTCATTTAATGAAATTGGAAATGAAAACTAAACATCGTCTTAAACTTTTCAAAATACATACAGATTATTATATAGTTTTTCTCTTTTTGAGTTAAATTAAATTAATAAGTTTCCTGGTATTCGATAAACCATGTATTCCTAGAATGAAGTATTTCATTGTTATCACATACTGTCTATATAGCTTTGTATTCCAGTAGTTGCAATTTCAGATTTTGACATCAATTTTCATGTCTGGCCTGGAACTTTATAACAACTTATATTGCTCATTTAAAAATCCACTGTTGCTTCTCTCCAGTTTATTTATATTTTCCAATTTCTTCAGTTAGATGCTTAATTTACATGTTTTTGTTCTTTTAATGGCTGCTTATAGAAGCACCTTTGTAAATTCAGAGGATTGTGATTCTTTTTCCAGTTGATTAGAGCCAAGTGACCTCTAAATATGCCATACAGTGCATCAGTGAATAGGGTTTATGTACACAAACACATCATCAATACATAAGACATTCCAAGTATCACATAAGTGTGCAGCCGTGCCCCATCCTTTTCTTCCTGGTGTTTTGGTGCAGCCACCAAAATCTGATAGGTATGCCAGTTATGGGAGTAGGTGCAGTTATAGCAAGGCATGATGCTGACTTATCTCACTGTATTTCCTTCTGCTTAATCTTCTGTAGACATGCTGTGCAACTTAACATCACTGCCACCCAGAAGCTCTTACGGCTAGTCAGATGCCAAAGCTGGAAGCCTTTATACATATCTCTACTGCCTTTTCAAATGGTAACCTGAAGCACATCGATGAAGTTGTTTATCCGTGCCCTGTGGAGCCAAAAAAAAAATCGTCGATTCCCTTGAGTAATTGGTCAAATAAAGGGATCAAGGTGTGAGTAGAATGTTGCTCTCTTTGATTCTTTGTAGCTGTCTATTAATGAGACGATGAAGAGAAACAGTTTTGCAGCAAAATGCTTTGAAACGGTGCTGGCCTTAGCTACCTTGTCCCTGTTACCTCTTTCATCCCCTGGTGGGGAATATACTGCTGAAAGAGAAGGGGGATAGAAAATTCTTAAAGAAACATTTTGCTAAATTGTATAGGATTGCATGAGGTACTTGGGAATACTATACAAAGAAGTGGTTTCTCGCTTCTTAATGAACTTAACATTGTCACTAGATAAAGCAAGTACAATGAATAGTATAAAATTTCAGAAGAAACATTTTTGATTCTGACATGAGTTTGGCATAGCTCCACAACTAACTAGCTGTGTGACTTTGAGAAAGTCCCTTGGCCTCTCTGAACCCCAGGTCCTTCATTTGTAAAATGGGCCCATTTGATTGTTGTGAGGTTGAATAAAGTTATATAAAACACTTATTGCAGTGCTAGGGAGTGTTTAATATCAGTTAATCAAATGATTAGTAAAGAAGAACTAACGAAGAATAAGAATTGCTCCAAGATCTGGCAGAAGTTCTCTTGACTTCTTTGGCTGAGACACCCTTTCCTTACTGTCCTATTATGCAAGAGAAATAGTGTCTAGGATTCTTCTCTTCTTGCCAATCAGCAGAAACCACTTTCATCCTAGGACACAGCTTGGGTCTCAGGATAGGTTTGTTTTCTGTTTCTTTATTCTGCTCCATTTCACTAAGTTTACTTTGCTTTTTGTTCAATTTTTTTTAAACTCTACATAAAAAGTATTATACCAGAAAAATGGACTCTTTCACAGTAAATTTATTACATTATAATTTTCTATAATACTGTATTTACATTTAATATATACTCTTTAAAAACTTTTAGCTTAATTAAGAGTTCATTCCCTTCAGGGAAAACATTTTTATCTCCTCCAGCTCTGAGAATAGATATTTTTGTCTGTCATATAAAAATGTCCAGGACAAAGAAGAATGAAAGTCATCTAAAGGACCTGGAGGTTACTTAAAGTTGCTAATAAATGGAGGTTTGCTACATTGATACAGAGAAACATTTTAGAGTGCAGAATTTATCAGGATAGTGGGAGAAAAGGCAGGTGTACTCTGAGGCCCAATGTCAAGGCAGTAAACTATGCTTAAAGCCTCAGAGCATTTTCAGGATAGAATTGACTGCTGTCAGTTATCCTCTTATGGTGTTGTCTCTTGGCAAATGTGATGCTTCCATATTTGATGTACCCAGGAGAGGGGCAGACCCTTTTGTTTCCAGACTGTTTCCTGGGACTGTCTCCACTGCTGATCTCTCTAACGCCTGACAGGTCGTAGTGCAATTTGAGGCAGCAAAATAGTCTGAGAGTTCATCAGAGAAAATAAGTAAGAGTTCACTCCTAATGAAGGGCTTCTCTATGTACTCCATACCACCATCTCCAGACACTAAATACCCATGGGTTTCAAAGAAGAATAAACTCACCTCCCAGAGGAAGAGTTGATTTATCTTCAGGCATTCGGCACTTTCCACACTCCCTCAGGTATATGTCAGCCAGACAAGGCTGGTAATTGCTACGTGATATATGAACAAACTGCAATTGACATTTTTACAAAATTTTTAATGTTCATCTGTCATTTACTGCTCTCCAAGGATAACAATTATTTGAGCAACTAATTAGAAATAGGTATGAAATTATTTTATCTCAACAGATACATTTTGCATGCAATTAAGGAACAAAGTTTTTTTAAAAAAAAACAGAGAAAAAGTCATACTTATGATTTGTTAATTCAAAATTAATTAGGACATCCAGGAGCACCTGTGGAGCCTCATTTCTCTCAGCCCTCCCCTTACCTTCATGCTGCAGTCACAAGGAAGTAAGGCCTCCTCTCCTCACACTCTGCCTGCCTTTGCGCTCAAAGCTCTCTTTTCCTAGAGCCTATTTCCCCTTCTGCTTCACCTGGTTAATTCTTACTCAGACATCAAGGCTCCCTGTGAAGCTCTCTGGCTTAGGCAGCCTTCCCAAGTGCCCCATAGTACCCAGCGCTCAGCTTTATTATTGCTTGTAACACAGGTCATTCTGAATGTCTGGTTGCTTATCTACATTTTCCTTTAGACAATGACCGTCTCAATGGAAGAGAATATTTCTTGCTCCTCTTTGCATCTTCAGCTAGGGACTCAATGCTTGCTTGCTTGCTGAGTGAAAAGTTTTTGGTGGAACTAGATGATTGTTGTTCATACTGTTCTGACTGTTTTTTTTTTTTTTGCTTGTTTTGACTGAAACAAGAATAGATGACAGAATTCCACAACAAGCTAATATTTGGGGATGCAGAAGTCTTATGTACAAAATATCTATTTATATCCCCACATCTCACCCATTTCTGATTGTTCATTTTTTTCTTCTTAAAGTTTGAATGAAACCTATATGTGAAGCTTTGAATAGCACTTTACATAAAGCCCAGCAACCCCTCTCCACCTATACCATCATCTATGACTATTTCTTTTTTTTTAAACCAACTTTGTGATTTTTATCGATGGGTGACAACTTTATACTCCTAGATATCACTAAACTGTGTACAATTAGGGATGCAGCATTAGAGAAGAGCAGACAGCAGAATTAAACAGAGCAGACTGAAGGAGAGATCTTCATTATTTGTCCATTTTTCATTATGTGTACACAGAAGCATGAATGCAATCTGAAATCTTTTTAATGGCAGTAAAGTTACAATCATCCATCTATGTAGACTAACATTTTAACTCCAAATATTTGATCTGCAATGTCTATGTAAGCAGTTTCCCTCAGCACAATTACTAATTTTTTTCCTGTTGGGAACCAGCAACTTATTTTTTATGTTTATTTTTCTTTTGAAGTAAGAACTAGTTCTTCTTTGATAACTGGCTCATTTTTATCATTTATCAAAAACTAAAGGGTAGGGAAGAAAAATGTGATGGATTAAAACATTTCTTTTTTAAGGAAGATAAAATTCATTTTCACAAATTTACAAGTGTTGCTGGTGCAGGATTTATTCTACTAAGCAATGAGACTGGGGATCAAATCCACTTTCTTATCTCAGGAATCAGCATTATTTCAGAAATATGGGTTTTTGTGTGTTTTTTAAAATCAAGCGACAGTCTGTTTCAACCAAATGATTTTGATTTCAAAGTTAGAGTCAACAGAAGCTATGTTGTGCACGAACCCCAAGGCATCTCCTTTTCATTCTAGCCCATTTTTGCAAAGGGAGAAAGAGTTTCTCTCTAAAGAGCCAATAAAGAGAGGCGGAAAGTGAGTGTGAGGTGGTGTCCTACAAAGCGGACACTGGGCTCACACACAGCGCACACAGGGTTTACAGCAGGTCCACTCGGCAGTAATACAGGAGATGGGCTGTGCGTTCAGCAGTTGGTTTCACCACCTGGTACTGGTTGATCACCTTGACTGTCTGGTCATCGATGCGCAGCCAGCCATTCAGACCGATCTGGAAGACGTCTCTAGTGTAATGGCCACCCGTCGCACTGTTGCCGTGATGGTAGACCACTGCAAAGAGCCGATAGGTTCTGTGGCATTTAAAATTCTTATTTTTAACCCCTGGAGAAAGCAGTTCTTTACTAATTTCCAAGTCCACAGGATATTCAATATTTTTGATAAGCTTCTGGCACCACCAGTCTTCTCATAAACGAATCGTTTCAGGTGCAGCACGAGGACAGGAGGGAGTTTTTCCAGAGTCACTCTTCGACTTTTCTCAACTTCTTGTTCGGTTTTTGTGGTATAACCTTGGACAGATTCTCTTGCCACCAAGCTCTCCAGTGCATCCTGGACTGTGCGTATTTTGTCAGACTGGATATCCAACTGCAACGTGAAAAATGGCTGCAAAGTGGCAGATTCTTTTGCACTCTGTTGGTAAACCACAGACCTGATGTGGCCACCAAAAATGTGGTGATTGGAGTCTGAACAAAATCCGCCTGGCTGGTGATGGAAGTCTTGTTCCGGGGGCCCACTTGTTCCCATTCATCCTCGCTTCCTTCACCTTGTTTTTCTTGCTCTTCTTCATTGACTGGTTTTTGGGGCCATTGGAAATCGCACGTTTTTCATTATTTGGTGAGAGAAGCTTCTTTAGGTTCAACATTTCCTCATGAAGTCCATTTAGAATGAAGCCTAAGTATTCCTCAGCATCTTCTTGTCGATCCTTTTCAGACAGGCTTGACTTGTTAACTGTCAGGAGTCTAAATATACGTGGGCTCAAAGGCAGCTCCAGGGCGAATATCCCTCACGATTTTATCTCCAAGAGCTTGTCCGGGTTTTGGAGGTACTGGCATATTAGTAAATTCATTCATTAGCCAAACAAAGCTGTCTACCTTGGGTGTTGACGTACAGGGCCTTTGCACTTTGGAATACAGAGGAATGAACTTCATCAGGTGGTACATTGTCGGGAAAGCAACCAATGCCTGGCTACAGGATCCCCTGAAACTGGAACAAGCCCTTCTTTGACTTCAACCTGCTTTTCAGAAACCAGGGGAGATATGGCGGGAGGGGAATACTTAGCTTCCACATAGGCCACCGGCCAGGAGGAAGAGGGCTTAGAATCGTGAAAGAGACTGGCCCAGGACCTGGGCTGGCTGACAGGAAGGGTGCCTGATGCAGAGCCCGTGCCGTCAGCAGGAGGTGATGGACTCTCGGGTTTGGCTGGGTCCAAGTCTATGCTTTCCATGGTGTGCAACTCCACCCCGTTGGTAGCTGTGCCCTCACCCGAGGATTCGAGTATTTGTCCATTAGCAACTCCAAGGTTTTCAGTAGTATCGGTACCAACGCAGGGCTGAGCCCCAGCTGTCCTTGACAGGGTGTCTCTGCCAGCCCCTGCAGGGAAGCAGGACTGACCAAAATCAACCCCGGGACCCCCCTCCTGCTGCCCTGCAGTCCCGGTGTCACTGCCGAGTGCTCCGGGGAAAGGACTGTCAGGCACAATGTCACTGACAGAGTCCGTGGAGTTCTGGGGGCTGTCAAAAGTCCTGGGCGTAATTGACGGGGGCATGTCACCCATAAATTCTGCATCCTCTGCACTGACACTGTTCGGGACTGCTGAGTTGGCATGGCCATTGACCAGGGCTTCTGCGGAAATACTATCATCACCACCATCTTTCAAACAGCTGTAATATCCAGGTGGCTGCTTTTTCTTCTTTTTACGCTCCCTTTGTCCAAGACCACCTGAGACACCATCATTTTCCAAAACTTCCGCCTCCACACTAGAACTTCCATCCAAAGCGAGGGCACAGCCTGGGTACTGGTCGATGGAGCCGTAGCTTGCTTCTTTAGTGATACCATCAGGGGTTGTTTTGGAAGCTGTACAACCGAGAATAAATTCGGGGGCCTGAGGGTTCAGTGTGCTTGAAATACTGTAGCTGGGGGTTCTCAGCAAAGTGTCACTGGGTTCAATGACTTCATTGACACCAAACTCAATTCTCCGATATTCTTGTCCATCAGGTAGTTTATCCCCAGCTTGTGTGCCACACAGAACTGTTCCACTGCATGGAGGAAGCTCAACTGAAGATCGAGGAGTCACAAAGAACTGATTGAATTCATCAGGGCTAAAATCTCCAAAAATATACTGCGGGCTGTGGAGGGCCATGGCTGCCGGTTTCAATGGGACTCGGCGCTCCTCCGGCTGCTCACGCTGCCTCCCCCGCCGCCGCCATCTTCTCCCCCGCACATACACCCATCTATGACTATTTCAATAACTCCTATAACAGATGGAATTTTTGCAAGTTTTAGAATAACAAATAACATTAAAAATCCTTATGAATAAACATTAATTTACCTAAATGCAGGTTTATTTTTTTGCTTTAAGAAAATACTTTTGATGAGTTCTCTATTTAGTAATTGGCCTGTGTTATAAAAGAATTATTTTCAAAGGTTTTTAGGTTTCTGTTTCCCCTGGGAGTTTGTTTTTCTTTCAGTGAAACAGAGAAATAGCTAGGGAACAGTTTTTTTTTTTAAACAGTAACTTCAAGGGGTCTAGCAGCTGTCATTTGCTCTTAGTATTTCAGCTGTTCTTAAGGAATCAGGAGTTAGACATCAAGATAATCTAGAAGCTGTACTCTGGGCATTGTGATCTCAAAAAAATAGCCATGACAATGTAAAAGGAAACTTTATTTTTCCAGAAAATCTGTTGAATGGGAATTCCAGTTCTGGAAGATAAAGAAGGATTTGCATTTTTGGCCAGGACCTTTCTGATGGCTTGGGCAGCAGTGATACTGCTCAATGCTGTTAATAAAGTGAATGGGACTGTGAACTTGAACCTCATGCTTACATCCTGGTCCCTACCTTTGCAAGCCTAACGTCTCTCTTTGTTCAGCTCCCCCCATTTTCTATTCGGCCTATATCCTGAGACTGTCGGGCCTGAGCTCCCTTTCTTTAGCCCCTATCTAAAAATTTTAGATTACCTTGGCTCTGAAATATTCCAGAAAGATGAAATTTAATTTTGTTAGCACAAAAACTTTAGCATGTCAGCATAAAAATATTTTAAAATAACTTAAATGAGAAGTTAATGTTTGTAATGAGTAGGACAAGCATGGCCATTAATCAGTGTTAAGCAACTAATTTTCCTGGCTCTTATACCTGTAGTTTTCTTCTGGCCCTCATCCCAGCCACCAGTTCCCATCCTGACTCATCTCTATCTTCATATTACCACCTTCTGCCTATTTGCTGTATTTACCTTGGAAATTTAGTGGCATAAATGGATCAGGGATTGCCAGTGAAATTCTGGTTTTCCAGAATAACAGCTTAAGTAGAAAGTTTATTTTTTAAAATGCACATAACTGACTAAGAAAGGCAGAGTTTTATGGTTGGTGCTTTTCTTATGTTTTAGGTCAAGGTAACTCCTCTTAGGGGAACCAGTGTAGAAGAAAAGGGCTTCTGCACCTGTATAAAAACCTGAAATAACTAGAATTAGGAACTAGAAAAATGGAATCACAAATACCTATTGCTTTATTGAACATATGTTAATAAATCTGAATTAAGAAGGGAAGGGAGGAGATGAGTCATTATTGAGCAATCACTGTGAGCGAGATGCTTTCACAGACATTTATTTCCACAACTTAATATTGTAGGGTTGATTTATTATCACTGCTATACTAATTAAGGAGCAAAAAGCTCAGGAAGGCTAAGTAACTCCTTGAAAGTCTCTCAAGACTTTCTTTACCTTTCAAGAAAGGTATCCATGGCCACTTGATTCTGAAGCTCATGGTCTTTCCAGTCTACTCACATACTCGGCAGTGTTAGAGATTAAAAGGTGCTTTCTTAAGATATAGACTGTTCCCAAGGAGCTCACGTCCCAGACAAATAGAACAGGGCAGAATTATACACGTGGGGTGGTGGGGAAACAGTACATATTAAGTCTGGTGGAGTGGAGAGAGGCATATGAGGTGACTTGGAAGAGTGGGAGGAGTGTGGATAGGTGAGATGTGCACAGACACCAGGCAGGGCAACTGGAGCTGGGAAACCCAGGCGTGTTTGGGACACAGCCAGAAGTCCCTCTTGGCAGCACATGTGTTATGTGTAGGGAAGCAGTTAGAGATCAAGCTGGAGAGGCAGGTTGGGCCGTACTGTGGAGATTTTGCATACCATGCAGAGGAATTGGATTTAATTCTCTAGGCAGTGGAGATCCATTGAAGGAGGGCCATGTGTGTGCATGTGGTTTTGTGTAGTTTTTGGTTGCTTGCTCATTTGTTTTCATCGTGGAAAGACACTGATGAAAGTGGGCTTCAGTAATATTAATATGGCCAGGGGCTGGGGGAGGCAGTAGATTAGCATGTGTATTGGGAAAGAAAAAAAAACAATAGGACATGGCTACTGCTTTGCTTATGGGATTACACATACCAAATTAACTCCAGATTAGAACATGCATACTTGCCATGTTTTACATTTCTAGTGCCAGGGATTTAATTTTTTTTAATAAATGAGAAAGTAAAGTTTATTGTGTTTAAGTATTTTTAATGAGATCATGTTTTTAGTGAGAACTGGGACCAAACAGATTTTCTGACTCCAAATAGATATTTCCATTGGAACAGGTCTATAAGTATACAGACATGCAAACACATATTTCTTTACTGCTCATAATCAAGTGTCAATTAGTCCTTATTAGAATGTGGGATGTATAAATGTAAGAGAATTTTCAGTTAAAATTGACAGATACATTTTTTAATTGTCCTAAAATGGATTTAATTATTTTTCTTTAATGTTATTTTTATGAGAAGTGATATAACTTTATTGATAATGCATACAATAACTCTTTGTTTTGCACATTGTTTGGAAATACAATGTATTTTGCAAGTAACTAAAGCCCAATTTAAATTAAAATTTTAAATTTTCAATCTTTTTAATTGTGATTATTATTATACTTTAAGTTCTGGGATACATGTGGAGAACGTGCAGGTTTGTTACATAGGTATACACATGACATGGTAGTTTGCTGCACCCATCAACCTCTCATCTACATTAGGTGCTGGAGATGATGTGGAAAAAGAGGAACGCTTTTACACTGTTGGTGGGAGTGTAAATTAGTACAACCATTGGGGAAGACAGTGTGGCTATTCCTCCAGGATCTAGAACCAGAAATACCAATTGACCTCACAATCCCATTTCTGGGTATATGCCCAAAGATTATAAATCACTGTACTATAAAGACATGCACACACATGTTTATTGCAGCACCGTTCCCAATACCAAAGACTTGGAACCAACCCAAATGCCCGTCACTGATAGACTGGATAAAAAAAGTGGCACATATACTCCATGGAATACTCTCAGCCATAAAAAAGGATGAGTTCATGTCCTTTGCAGGGACACGGATGAAGCTGGAAGCCATCATCCTCAGCAAACTAACACAGGAACAGAAAACCAAACACCACATGTTCTCACTCATAAGTGGGAGTTGAACAATGAAAACACATGGACACATGGAGGGGAACATCACACATTGGGGCCTGTGGGGAGCTAGGGAAGGGATAGCATTAGGGGATTTAATTCTTTCAAAATTTAATTCTGTTGAAATGTTTACTTCAAGAAGCAATGCATTTTTGAGAGCTAATCCTGATCTATTCAAATCTTAACAAATTCAGTTGATGGAGTGGACTTCTTCTAAATTAGTGATTCCCTAATTTGCCTGACTGTTGGAATTTCCAGGGCATGTTGAAAATACACATTATCCAGACTCTTACCTCTGCAGATCTATTTAGTGGTTCTAAAATGGCAGCCAGGAGTCTGGATTTTTCCCAGGGGTCCTGTGTAATTCACACTGATGAACAGGCAAGTTTGGGAAATAGTGCCTTAAGGAGATTTTTCATTAAGCAGTCTTCATTTGAAATGAGGATCGTTTATCTTCTAATACTCCATGCTTCCTCTTTCTCCTGCTCTCCTCGCCTCCTGTTGTCTTTCAGTTCCTAGAAGCTTTAACTGAATGAAAGGTCCTAGTAGATCTGTACCTACTAAAAACCACACTTCTGAAGCTATGTGGCCACCAGAAGACACAGCTAGTCTGCAATGTAAAAAAGGAAAGGTGGTGTGTGCACTGAGGGTACAGGGTTGACGGGCAGGGAAATGGAGACCCTCACAGCCAGCAGCAGTGGCCCTCATCACAGCCCTCCAGGAGATAGGAAAGGAGGTCAGATCTTGGACAGTAGTCTTGCCTTCCTGCTATAGAACACATTGTTAACACCAAAAAAGCTGATCTCTTCTAGGGGAATGGTGAAAGCTGACTCTAGCACTTGTGCTTTTAATTTCAGGGTGGCACAGCTTCTAAATGGCATCTAAGTTGCTGATATAAAAATGAAAATTCTGTGTACTTTGATATTAGCAGGCTTTAAATACAAACCAGAATAAGATTAAATTGTTTCTTAATCAAATCGAATAATTTTCACATTGGCAGTCCATTCGGCATCTGGCTCATGTTTGGGCTAGGCTGAGTAGTCCGTGAAAGTCTGGAGGGAAATACAGAGGCCAATTCTACATAAGCATTAGGTTGAGAAATACCCTGCTTCCCCATGAAAAGTTTAAATTGATGTGACGCCACCTTCACCAAATCGAGGTTGGTCAACACTTTTCACCACTGCCACTGGACACTTTGACTTCCAATTTTGCTTCCTGCTCTATGAAGATATCCCCTTCTTTCCTTTCCCACATTCTCCCTATAACCTCATCTTCCTTTCGTCTACTCTCTCTTATCATTGTCCATCTCTGCTTCCCAAAACCTTATATAGTACAGAAATTGACCAATCAAGATTACCATGTGGAAGAGCATCCATTTACTGAATAAGGTAGCTGGCTCCTGGGGGCAGAAAAGTGATTAGATACAGAGATAAAAATCATAATCCCTGCTCTCCTGGACTCACTGTCCAATGGGGAGACAGACACGTGAACAAATACAACTTCGTAACTACAACAATCAAGTGAACTATATAATTTAGACTGGAGAAAGAAAGAGCAAATGTTATCATAAGACAGTGTGTCCACTACTTACTCTCTAACAGATTTCCTCATAAACCACTAGGCTTGCCAACTTGTTGCATAAGAAAATTGGAAGGTGAGGGAGGGAAAATACATATGCCTCTTGGCATTTCATTCTGTAAATACATAAATAATGTAACTATTAATGATATCATCATGTTGATTCAATAAGTTTGAAACCAAAATTGATAGTAATCTTTAGAAGAAATTATGTATGTGTCTATGCATGTACACACATAGACATACACATATTGCTTTCTGAAATTTTTAATGACTTTATGCTTCTTCTGAAGCAATTCGAGTTTAGTATTTGAGACCCATGGGTCAAAGCATCTTCTTGAGTATACTGAAGAACATTTAGATTAATTTCAGACATGTATTTTGGTTAATATAGTGGTTTTTATCCATGCTAACTTATTTACTGTTTAAAAACATATTGAGAACAAACAACAGCAGCAACCCTGAATTGAGTGAAAGTCCTGAGAAGGGCTTTGCCCAATCAGTGCATATGCATGTTTACACTAATCTCCTGTCTGATCCTAGGAAGTGGCCGAATGAGCTAGCAGATGGTCTCTTTGGCTGTATTATAAACGATAATTTATTTTTATTTGTTTTATTCATTCATTCCTTCATTTTGAGACAGGGTCTCACTCTTTCACCCGGGCTGGAGTAGGGTGGCAGAATCACAGCTCACTGCAGCCTTCAACTCCCAGGCTCAAGCAATCCTCCTGCCTCAGCCTCCTGAGTAGGTGCACGCCACCATGCCCAGCTAATTTTTAAAAACTCTTTTTGTAGAGACAGGGTCTTATTATGTTGCCCAGGCTGGTCTCAAACTCCTGGACTCAAGCGATCCTCCTTCCTTGGCCTCTCAATGTGCTGGGATTATAGGTTAGAGTCACCACACCTGGCCAGAAATGACATTTTAAAACCAACTATTACCTACACAGATGTATGATGCTCCCTTGTTTTCTTTAAAAATAGGAATGCCTTAGATTTTTGGCTCATTTTGTTTCATCAAAGATCTTAAATGCAGTTGTGAAAATTTTTGTTTACCCTCATAATAGCCTGAGAATTTAGAATGAATATAATTATTGCTATTTTCACAAGTAAAATTGGAATGAGAAGATTAAACAGTGGAATACATGTGTAAATAACAACAGCAGAGGCAAGCCATCTATAGAATATTAAAATTTCTTGCATGTGTGTTACCAACATTTTCTCATGCCTGAAATCCCAGCACTTTGGGAGGCCGAGGCAGGTGGATCACCTGCGGTCAGTAGTTCGAGACTAGCCTGGCCAACATGGTGAAACCCCGTGTCTACTAAAAGTTCAAAAATTAGCCAGGCGTGGTGGCAGGCACCTATAATCCCAGCTACTCAGAAGGCTGAGGCAGAAGAATTGCTTGAACCTGGGAGGCAGAAGTTGCAGTGAGCCCAGACTGCACCATTGCCCTCCAGTCTGGGGGGGACAAGAGCAAGACTCCGTCTCCAAAAAAAAAAAAAAAAAAAAAAAAAACAAACAAATAAACCAAACCAAACCAAAACAACAACAACCAAAAACAACATTTTCCAAGACAAGCAAAGCTACTAAACTTTATAAGGCCCCATCCCCCCAAGTATTATGCTTTCCATGTACTCCAACATTAACGACAGCAACTGGTACTAGCCATGTGACATACAATCCCAGCACATTGTTCGGCTCTGATGTTTTCTAGGAATTTTTTCTTTACAGCCTTATTGATATTAAGCTCTATTTTCTCAAGACCTGGTTTTCATAAACTGTATATTTTTGCAGTTGAGGGAAAATGATCTCAGGTCAGTCAATCCACTGTTGACCCACAAATGAAATAAGGTAGGCTTATTGTTAAGATGGAGAGGTGTCTGCATCATCCTACACTTTTTCCCAGCCTCCAGGTGACCATATAATTAAAATATCCTTGATATTTCTATGTAGTTTAAGTTGTTTTTAATTCTAGAACCCCTCAATCTTTCTCCATTCAATTTAAATGAAAAGTCATTTGAGTATCCAGAACACACTCAGCACTCATAGAAGCAAAGCAAGAAAAATGGAAACATTATAGTCAATGCCCATGTTCTACCCCAGGATGAAATGAGGCATTAATACTGAGAGTTGTGATTCTGAATAAGTCTTAACCTTCTGCACATCTTAGTTGTTCAAAAATGTGTCATGTCAGCAAGGTGATAACAGTGAAGATTTTCTACAATCAAAGTAGTATTGTTATGTTCTGTTGTATAAAATAGAAATAAATGTACCACATTGATCAGAAAAATCACACTAGCATATTCTGGCAGCTTAAATTTTTTATTATTGTACTTTAAGTTCTAGGGCACATGTGCACAACGTGCAGGTTTGTTACATAGGTATACATGTGCCATGTTGGTTTGCTGCACCCATTAACTCGTCATTTACATTAGGTACTTCTCCTAATGCTATCCCTCCCCTAGCCTCCACGCTAGGACAGGCCCCTGTGTGTGATGTTCCCCGCCCTGTCCAAGTGTTTTCATTGTTCAATTCCCACCTATGAGTGAGAACATGTGGTGTTTGGTTTTCTGTCCTTATGATAGCTTGCTCAGAATGATGGTTTCCAGCTTCATCCATGTTCCCGCAAAGGACATGAACTCATCCCTTTTTGTGGCTGCATAGTATTCCATGGTGTACATGTGCCACATTTTCTTTCTTTCTTTCTTTGTTTCTTTGTTTCTTTCTTTCTTTTGTTTTATGGAATAAAAAGTTCGGCCTTTTTACTGCATGAAACTAAAATTGGAAAAGGTGGGCGTGGATGGGGTGGGAGGGGGTTGAGGGGAGCAGGAGATGCCCTCTCCACCAGCTCCTGGGTAATGACACCTCACTTCTTGCATAATTTCTGGCATCTTCCTGCCTGCAATGCCAGCTCTCTCAGCATCTTGGAGAAGGGGGGATCACACACTCATCGTCATGCTTGGAGAGTAATTGTCATTCTGAAAGGAGTGGAGGAAGTTCCCTCCTAGCTCGCTGTCATCTCGAGGGGTGCCTGGAAGACTGCTAATACTATTCACGTTGTTAGGAGAATTTTTTGGAAGTCATTTATGTTGCCTGACCCTAACAATCCGTTCATGTGTTGTGGCTCCATGCCACCCATGCTGCCCATCGGACCGTCCAAGCTGGGACCCATCGGGAAGTTGGACCGGCTGCCTCCAGGTGGCACCAGATTAATCAATGTGTAGATGTTGTCGCTGGAATTTGTTGAATCTGAGGGACTGGGCATAGTGGGTGTTCCTGGAGGGCCACCACCACCAGGGGGTCCCACATAGGTACCAGGTGATGAGGAGGAGTATGGAATTGAGTTAGCACTGTTAGAATTGGGCTAGGGTCTGCCGGCTCCCGGGCCCATGTTAATCCCGGGCATGGCAGGGCCAAGGGAATTGGGTGGTGGTCTCATGCCACTGCCGTAATTCTGTGGGCTGGGACTCATGGGCACCATGCCTCAGGGAGGGTTCATTCTCTGCATTGATCCTTCTATGTGGGGGTGGCCTTGTTGTCGTGTGGGATCCATGGAATTGGGCAGCAATGGCTGTTTCCCAGGAACTCCTCCGGAGGAGGCTGGTTTCCCATTCTGATCGGGGGGCCTGGGGCCGCCTGCGTATTGCGGTGACATAAAAGGCTGACTGTGGGGTCCCATCATGCTGCTAGGATTGTGAGGTGGAGGCTGTGCATGCGGTGAGGGCAGTGACCCCGGAGGACACTGAAAGAAACCTGGCGAGACTCGGCCTCCCGGCATCCCATCTTTGGGGGGAATGTTGCCAAGCACGGGGCTCCGGGCAGCTGCTGCACTAGAATCAGGAAAGGCTTTTGCTTCACTTGAATGTTCACAAGTGTCTCTCCTTTTAGGAGCTGCACAGTAAAGGTCCCAAAATACACACCACCACGAGTGCAAAAACCGAGGCTGTTCTCCCAACCTGATGTTTTTTTTTTTTTTTTTTCCCAGAGAATCTCCGATAAGAAGGTCTGTGCAGATTTCTGTGCTCCTACCTGCAGTAAATATTCGTAGACGTATAAAGCTAACTTTTCCCCAGCCTGCCGGTTCGAGGGCACCAACGAGCCTTTGTCTTTGGCAAACATGGTTTGCAGGGAAGAGGGCTCCAAGCCTCGCCACAGCCGCCACCGCTCCGGCTCTCCCGAGCTGCCCCTGGCTCCCGGCCCCCTCCCAGGCGCTCGCTCGCTCTCTCGCTAGCTGGCGCTCTCCTCGCCGCGCTCCCCTCCCTCCCGACCAGGCGCTGGCTCCGCGCTCTTTTCAGCTGTCAAAGCATCAGCCCGGACCAAGGCCCCATCGCCCTGGAACTCCTCCCGTGCCGGCTGGGCCTGGGGTGCCGCCGCCGCCGCCTCCCGAAAGGCCGCCAGGTCTCTGCTAGCTCAGGTGCTCGCCAGGCTCCGCCTGCACCGCCCTCTGCGCCTCCAGTACCGCTGCGGCCGCCGCCGCTGGTCTCATGTGTCATATTTTCTTAATCCAGTCTATGGTTGATGGACATTTGGGTTGGTTCCAAGTTTTTGCTATTGTGAATAGTGCCGCAATAAACATACGTGTGCATGTGTCTTTATAGTAGCATGATTTATAATCCTTTGGGTATATACCCAGTAATGGAATCTGGGTCAAATGGTATTTCTCGTTCTAGATCCTTGAGGAATCGCCACACTGTCTTCCACAACGGTTGAACTAGTTTACACTCCCACCAACAGTGTAAAAGCGTTCCTATGTCAAGCAATGGCAACAAAAGCCAAAACAGACAAATGGGATCTAATTAAACTAAAGAGCTTCTGTGCAGCAAAAGAAACTACCATCAGAGTGAACAGGCAACCTACAGAATGGGAGAACATTTTTGCAATCTATCCATCTGACAAAGGGCTAATATCCAGAATCTACAAAGAACTTAAACAGATTTACAAGAAAAAACAAAACAACCCCATCAAAAAGTGGGCAAAGGACATGAACAGACACTTCTCAAAAGAAGACATTTATGCAGTCAACAGACACACGAAAAAATGCTCACCATCACTGGCCATCAGAGAAATGCAAATCAAAACCACAGTGAGATACCATCTCACACCAGTTAGAATGGCAGCTTAATTTTTAAAACGCTATATCAATAATTTAAGCACATAGATCTCTCAGCTAGAATAAATGTTACATATTTAATTGACAATAATTTTTTGCTCTCTTAGAGATGTGTAGATAGACTTTGGGTTTATCAAATGGTTCTTTTTTTTTTTTTTTTTTGAGATGGAGTCTCACTTTGTCACCAGGCTGGTGTGCAGTGGTGCGATCTTGGCTGATTACAACCTCCGACTCCTGGGTTCAAGCGATTCTCCTGCCTCAGCCTCTCAAGTAGCTGGGATTACAGGCATGTGCCACCACGCCCAGCTAATTTTTGTATTTTTAGTAGAGACGGGGTTTCACCATGTTGGCCAGGATGGTCTCGATTTCCTGACCTCAATATCCGCTCGCCTCGGCCTCCCAAAGTGCTGGGATTACAAGTGTGAGCCACTCCGCCAGGCCAGTTCTGACATATTTTTAAGAAAGATTAGGCTGATGCTATGGTAACTCAGTTATTCATGATACATGTCATATTATAAGTAGGAGAATTCAATATTCATGATTTTGAAGCAATTTCAGAGTACTATAATCACCCCACTTGACAGACTTCGAATTCATTGGAAATCTCTGGAAATAATTAGCAAGTTATTAGCACAGACTCTAAACAGACCTTCAAAATGCGTTACATAGATTTGCTAGAAGAGATTGTCAGTCTGCCAAAAGTAGTCACTTTGGTTTGATTTGCATTGAATGAAATTTTTTAAATGTAAAGCTAAACTCTTCAGGATCACTGCACCAGGTTTCTATGGGACAACACTGAACAGGGCTGCCACTGAAACACCTTGGATGAGAGCCTCAAACTCCCTGAACACAGCTTCCAGCACACTATTGGGAGAATGACTGGAACTCAAAAATGTGTGCAATGAATGTACTTAGGAGCTTCTTGGAGAGGAAGTAAAGAGGTTGTATGTAATAACCTCCAGTTTAGTACTACTACAGATAAAGTAGTAGTATTGGTAAAGTAATTGATAAATAAATAGTAGTGCTAAAGTCATACTAATAAAGTAGTACTAATAGCCCTATACTAGTAGTAATAATAAAGTGGTATTGCTATTGATTCTATTGGTCTCTCTACCTACCTATCTCTCTAGATGGGAGGGCATAGGATTTGGCTGATGAGATTGGGCTTAGCAGTGAAGAGCAAAGAGCTCATGCATGCTTTGAACAGGTATGCCCTCAAACTTGGTATTGTGTGACTAAATTCCAGAACCAAGGCTAAAAGGTGGAAGTTTTGTTTGACTATTTGCGTGTCACATTTTCCTTTTGGTCTATTGTCTAACATATGCTGCTAGAATTCTTTTCACTCTGACTACTTTTTACGTGGTTAGACGACGCTGTTATTGACGAGATCACACCCAAGCTGATCAGAGATCCGCCCAATTCTTGCACCTACATCAAGGCCTTGGGAGAAATGGTGGTGCAGCAGGAGAGCAGAAACCTAACCATCGCCATCATAAGGCCCTCCATTGTGGGAGCAACGTGGCATGAGCCTTTCCCAGTAAGCCCACTCACCTGGATTCTCTGTTTTGCTTCCAAATTAAAGTTCTTCTAGCCCAATTACTTTCTGATGTCGTTTCTCCCCCTCCTCCTCCTTCTCCTTCTTCTTTCTTCATCTTCTTCCTCTTCCCCTTCCCCTCTTCCTCCTCCTCCTCCTCCTCTTCCTCCTCTTCCTCCTCCTCAGGATTTATAGCTAAGTGCAGCCAATCAAATATGAACCCATTATACTAGGGCAAAATTCCACTTTGGGATCAGGATTTACTCAGCATGCACCTTCTCTGGCAGTTACCCTGACTGTCCTAGAGTTGAATGGAGATCTTAAATTAGCTTCTAATTACTCTAGCCTCAAAATTCCCATGGGTGATGGCTTCATATCTTGGCTTTCCCACTATAGTTTAAACATACCGAATGTTCTTAATGGTCAAATTGGTAGTATTGCAACTGCCAGGGTAAACAAGGGTTACAAAGTGCACAGAAGGATCCCAGTTTGGGAATACTGTTTTTCCTAACCTCAGTATAGTGCTATGTCCTTTTAAAAGTACTTTGAATTATGCTATCTTCTTTTTTTTATTATACTTTAAGTTCTAGGGTACATGTGCACAATGTGCAGGTTTGTTACGTATGTCTACATGTGCCATGTTGGTTTGCTGCACCCATTAACTCGTCATTTACATTAGGTATTTCTCCTAATGCTATCCCTCCCCTAGCTTCCATGCTAGGACAGGCCCCCGTGTGTGATGTTCCCCGCCTTGTGTCCAAGTGTTCTCATTGTTCAATTCCCACCTATAAGTGAGAACATGCGGTGTTTGGTTTTCTGTCCTTGCGGTAGTTTGCTCAGAATGATGGTTTCCAGTTACATCCATGTCGCTACAAAGGATATGAACTCCTCCTTTTTTATGGCTGCATAGTTCTCCATGGCTTGTATGTGCCACATTTTCTTAATCCAGTCTATCATCGATACAGATTTGAGTTGGTTCCAAGTCTTTGCTATTGTGAATAGTGCCGCAATAAACATATGTGTGCATGTGTCTTTATAGTAGCAGGATTTATAATCCTTTGGGTATATACCCAGTAATGGGATGGCTGGATCAAATGGTATTTCTAGTTCTAGATCATTGAGGAATTGCCACACTGACTTCCACAATGAGTGAACCAGTTTACACTCCCACCAACAGTGTAAAAGTGTTCCTATTTCTCCACATGCTCTCCAGCACCTGTTGCTTCCTGACTCTTTAATGATCGCCATTCTAACTGGTGTGAGATAGAATTATACCATCTTCTTTAAAGCAAGTCTGTGAAGCTTTGGGGCAGATAAATTCCAGCTCCACCACTTACTGGCAATGCAAAATTTTTGAGTTGTCCCTTCCATAAAACAGGAGGGATACTATTTTGGAGACCTGGTTTAATGAGACAATGTATGAGGAGTGCTCAGTCTCTAGTAAAAGGCAGGTCCTTACTAAAAGGCTCATGGATATTAATCCCTTCATCTTCTCCTCCCGCCTCTCTCCTTTCCCATTATACACACACATTTTGACTTTTACACTATGAGGTAAAGAGACATCATAAGGTCAGCTGAATGGCTTAGGGTTTAGGAAACAAACTCAAAAAGACATTTCCCTCTAACTGTTCTTAAACATAATCTTCCCTGTAACATCTTTAAGCAAGTCAACACACACACACACACACTACATATACACACACACACACAACATATACACACACACACATATATATGTGTATCTGGCATGGGCTGTATAGCTGGTCAAAAATGTCAAGAAATGGGCCATTACTACCAATCATGTCTCCAATATTCTCCTAAGGAGGCTAAAGTCAGGACTGAGGTGGAGAAGTATGGTTGGTGAATTGCTTAGCAGATCATAATATAAGAACAAGGTTCAATGTGGCCCTTAAGATGTCATAAAACACCACAAAACCATTCATGACTCCTGCTATGAGCAACAATCCTGGCCAAATTTTAATTTTTGCATAGTCAAGGTGCAGAAAATAGCCAATGCTTTGCCACTGATCTTTCAGATCTTAATAATACTGAATTAGATAGTTCTGTTGGCTGGGGTCTCAGTGCTCTTGTTTGAAATTTATTAAGATGAGACTGCAGATGTTTCAAAGATACAACAATCTTCTGAAATGTGTAACCAGTAGAAATCTTCTTTCTTTTAGGGTTGGGTTGAAAATCTAAATGGACCTAGCAGACTTATTATTGTGGTATGTTTAAGGATGAAGAAATAACTCTCTGAAGTGTAGTGGAGGAATAGTAATAAAATTCTTAGTGCTGGCTTAGCTTCATTGATCCCAAAACATAAATTTTACTTTACTAACAATTGAAGCATATTATTTCAATTATGCTGATCATAATATAGAAGTAGGAAGAAATTATTTTTATTCTTCAAGGATTTTTATCAGAAAAACCAAGGTAATGTATTATCAATTACCATTCAGGAATTCTTCTTTAAAAAACTTTTTTAAATTAAAAATATTAGTCTTAATTGAGTGTGGATAATAGAAATCCCATAATTATCTTATTTTTGTTAGACACCTTCTCAAAGTAGTTTTACATTACTTTATTCTCCTTTTGTTTATAATATAATAAATGTGTCTGAAACAATATGTACAACAGACTAATAAATGGTTCTGTTTAGCTAAGACTACTCTAGTCTATACCATGAAAATGTTCGGTCTAAATTTCTAAACATTATAAACAACAATTTTTTGAAGTGCTCTGATTTTCCTAAGAATACAATACTCCTGACTTTCTTAAGTTTACACATGTAAATGAGAAGGAACTATAAATGAAAATATCATACGTCTTCTGTAGCTATTAGAATTTTCAGCTGAGGTTTTAGATCATCACCAATTTAGTGTCACTCCTTTGCTCTGCAAACTTCAGCTCTCAATATATAGTTAATACTTTTACTTTCTGGAGATTTTTAGACTTTAAAGAACTCATTCAAGATTGTTTAAGAAACAAAGCAGGGGATGAATTGAAGACTTTCATTTTAAAAGTAAGTACAGCACAATTATGAAGATTAAGCCTGATGAATATGAAAGGCAGACAGCATCAAATGCTGGTGATGCTGGTAGGAATGCAAATGTTACACCACTTACGAAGACAGTTGGTCAGCTTTTTACAAAACTAAGCAAACTCTTATCATATAATCTAGCAATAATGCTCCTTAGTATTTACCCAAAGAAATTGAAAACATGTCCACACAAAAACCTGCACGATAATGTTTATAGCGGTTTAATTCATAATTGCCAAACTTGGAAGCAACCAAGATGTCCTTCATTAGGTAAATGGATAAACTGTAATACATCCAAATAATTAAATGTTATTCAGCATTAAAAAGAAATGACCTATCAGGCCATAAAAAGACATTAAGCAATCTCAAATACATGTTTCTGAGTGAAGCCAATCAGGAAATGCTATGTACTGTATGACTCCAGCTACATGACATTCTGGGAAAGGCAAAGCTATGGAGACAGTTAAAAAAAATCAGTGGTTGCCAGGAGTTATGGGGGACAAAGGGACGCACAGATGGAGCACAGAGGAATTTTAGGGCAGTGAAACTCTTCTGTATAATACTATAATTATGGATATTACGTTCAGATTTTTAAATAAATAAAACTGAAATTTAAAATAGAGTAAGAGGGAATCAGGTTAATTTGTTTCAACTGAAATTCATGATCACAAAGCTCCTGTCTTTATGTTTCCCAGAAAAAAATATTCCCTGCCCCATTCACTCTCATCCTTTCCCACAGTAACAGTTCATACTTATTTTCTCTCCTTCCCATCTTAACTCTTTACTGATGACTTTATTTTCAATTTCACTTGTAAAAAAAGAAAGTGGTCATTTGACAAGAATTTCAAAATCTCCAGTCTCTTCATCTGCTCATCTTTATATATCTATACCTACATTCTGTTATCTCTCCTTTTCATATGGATGAACTGTCTTTGCTTCTAAATAATGTCCACCCCTCTCACTGTGACTAGGTGCTCTGTCTTGTTGTATTAGGATTCTCTAGAGGGACATGACTAATAGGATAAATGTATATATAAAATGAGTTATTAAAGAGTATTGACCACACAATCACAAGGTGAAGTTGCACGATAGGCTGTCTGCAAGCTGAGGAGCGAGAAAGCCAGTCTGAGTCCCCAAATCCCAAAAGTAGGGAAGCCAACCGGGCAGCCTTCAGTCTGAGGCCGAAGGCCTGAGAGCCCCTGGCAAACCCCTGGTGTAGGTCCAAGAGTCCAAAAGCTGAAAGAACTTGGAGTTTGATGTTTGAGGGCAGGAAGCAACCAGCATGGGAGAAAGGTGGAGCCAGTCGAGCCCTTCCATATTCCTCTGCCTGCTTTTATCCTAGCTGTGCTGGCAGCTGATTAGAGGGTGACCACCCAGACTGAGAGTGGGTCTGCATCTCCCAGTTCACTGACTCAACTGTTAATCTCCTTTGGTGACACCCTCACAGACACACCCAGGAACAATACTTTGCACCCTTCAATCCAAGCAAGGTGACACTCAGTATTAACCATCACACCTGTTATCTACTCATGCCTGTCATTCCAGAAATTTTCTTGCTTCTTTTTCTGCATCTGAAATTTTAATTTCTCCACCAAGTTCTTCACATCAAAAAACAAAAAAAGAAGTTATTTCTTTTAACCTGAAAAAAACCAATAACTCATAAAGAGCTAATGAATAAATTTATCTCAAATGTTTGATAACTTTAATAACTTTAATATTCACAGGTTATATTTATCAACAGATTGCCTTAGGAAAAGAAAAAGACTTCCCATAAACTAGAAGAAAATGTAAAATATAACCAACATATAAACAGCAATGTGTTAAAGAATAATACATAAAGAATAATACAAATAACACAATTAAATAATGAACAAAGGATATAGACATTATACAAAATATGAAACATGAATACACAATATATAATGCTTTATATTAGTAATCAGGGAAATGCTATTAAACATAGAACAGGATGATGTTTTACATTAGCCAGCTTGACAAAAATTGAAAATTTCAATCACAACTGTCAGAGAAATTATAGAACAAAGGAGACTCTTATACATGACTTGTAAGTAATGAGATGGGGAAGAGGACATAGAAGTCACTGCCTCACAATCAATGGCGGTTACTCAGCTCACTAGTCAGCAACGTGTGCTGTAAGTTTCACAATCATTTTGTGCTTTTTGTGAGAGAAATAGTTTAACAAAAGTATAATTTTTATTAATCTCACAATAAATTTGACCTAACATTTTATGTGATTGAATTCCTTTAGACCCCATTATTTTATTATGGCTAGTTTCCTGTGTTTTGTTTTGTAGATACATATAATAACTTTAAAAGACAGAAAAATTTTGTAACATCAGTTACTTCCGGGAGTGAAAGTGGGAGGAATTTTTTTTTTACTATGTATTACTTACCTTTTAAATTTTACACTAGGATAATGTATTACTATATTCTGTAACAAAATTAAAATATAACATTTTAAAAAGTTTTAAATTAAAATAAAAAGTTCAGTAGATGAGAGATTCTAATCAGGAGCTAATGACTGATTCCACTATAAAGAACTAGAAAACTAGACAAACTATATAAAAAATCATTTTCAAACATTAGACAATCAGCAGCTAAGGACTGTTTTTCTCCAGTTGAGAAGAGACACAAACAATGCAACCCCTACAATAGCCTCTTATTTCTGCCTGGGGATACTTACTGGACAACACCATTGACAGCAGAACCCAGACAGAGCTTGGAGAAGTCCCTGAATTGAAGAGAGAGAAACATTATTTTAGGAGGGCTAAGTGAGCATCTCAAATTTAAAATAATGGACTATACAAAGAAAGAGCTCCAGAAATCAGCATAGGTTTCCCCTGAGTGACCCAGGGACTGGCTAATTCAGTAAGCATCCAGCCCCGGATCTCGTGTCTAATTTCCCCTCCTGAATGTCCAGGATCACCACCTTGAGCTGTCTTCATATCTGCAAATGACAGATTCATCTCTGCCCCTCAGGACTGCATAAACCTGTGCAAATACTTTCTACTTTTTATGAAAAGCACACTAATTTCACAAGCAAGTAGCATTTCCTGTGTTTTGGAGGATCAGCTCAAGCTTTGGAATTCAAAGTTATAGGTTAGACCCTTTACTCACTTCACCTTTCTCTGCATACTTGTGCCTGATTTTTCCTCTTTTTTATTTTTATTTTTGTTTGAGACAGACTCTCACTCTGTCACCCAGGCTGGAGTGCAATGGCCTGATCTTGGCTCACTGCAACCTCCTCCTCCCAGGTTCAAGAGATTTATAAAAGAGCAATATAAATTCCTGTGGAATTCCCCTTTTACTTAAGAATTTAACATCAGCAAATTAGTTTAACAAGGCTGTTTTGTAAGAGGCTGCTGTTGCATTCAAAAATTTGAATGGGAACAACGACTTGTAAAAATTCAACATTTCATTTATTTATTTATTCGAGAGGGAGTCTCACTCTGTCACCCAGGCTGGAGTGCAGTGGCGTGATCTTGGCTCACTGCCACCTGGGCCTCCTGGGTTCAAGCGATTCTTCTCCCTCAGCCTCCTGAGTAGCTGGGATACAGAAATGCGCCACCACGCCCCACTAATTTTTGTAGGCTTCACCATGTCGGCCAGGCTGGTCTTGAACTCCCCACCTCAGGTGATCCACCTGCCTCAGCCTCTCAAAGTGCTGGGATTACAGGCGTAAGCCACCACACCAGACCAAAAGTCGACACTTGAAACTACCATCTGTTATATTCACTGTGTCTATGATTGGACATATCTTTTTCAGTGGCCAAAAAATTATAAAACGGACACAGAATAGTCTTTTCAAAAAATTAAGGATGTTCTTTCTTCTTAAAAGGATTATAAGGCCAGACACGGTGGCTCACACCTGTAATCCCAGCACTTTGGGAGGCCGAGGTGGGCAGATCACCTGAGGTCAGGAGTTCAAGACCAGCCTGATCAACATGTTTAAACTCTGCCTCTACTAAAAATACAAAAATTATTCGGGCCTGGTGGTGGGCGACTGTAATCCCAGCTACTAGGGAGCCTGAGGCAGGAGAATCATTTGAACCTGGGAGGTGGAGGTTGTGGTGAGCCAAGATTGCGCCACTGCACTCCAGCCTGGGCAACAAGAGTAAAACTCCGTATTAAAAAAAGGGGTGTGTGGGGGGGAAGATTCTAAATATAATTAGAACTGGCATCTAAATTAATTTTAGTCGGTATGTGTGTGCGCGTCGTGTGTGTGGATGTGTGGATGTAAATGGCAGTAAAGGGTAAAAAGGGAAGGCGGTAAAAAGGGAGATGGTCTAATATTTTCAACACATTTTTTATTTTTATTTTTGTTTTCTTTTGTGTTTTATTTATATATTTTTGGCAGCAAAATCGTGTTTACTAAAAAAAAAAATCTGGACTATGAACACACTTCACTGCTTTGAAGAACTCCAAGCCAAATAAAAGGACCAATCAATATTAAAAGCAGTATAACTGGTTACTTTCTTAAAAATACATAAAAAGAATCAAATGCAACCGTGTAGGAAGACAATCACCCCCATGTCAGAAGTCATGACTTCTTCCAAATAAAGAATATGACCCACCTGCCGTAGTGAATCAATATTTATTTCAGGACATGCCATGTCAAAATAAAACAAAGAGTCAACCCTTGCCTTTAGTAATTATATTGTATTATAAAAGCACTTTATAAGCACATCCCATGTTTAAGTGTAAGTTACTGGTATGTGGGCTAATGATTATCTGTAAGCATTTATCTATTCAGATCCATAATCCAAGTGCTCTCTGAATATTACAAGGTGACAATAAGTGAGAAGTGGAGGAGGAAGAGGAAAGAGAGGGGACTAAGGTTCTCCCAGTTTAAGGTTTTATTGCAATGAGGGGCTGAGGAAGTATGAAGATATTTTTGTTGTCTTTTCATCTTTATGCTGTGTTAAGTAATGTTTACAACATAAATTCAGCAGGCTTTTCCTGACCTGTAACTCAGAAGTTTTCTTCCTGCAAACGATGTATTTACAAATGTGTTAATTAGCTTACACAGCAATCTCACAATATAGTAAAGATTAAAAGGGCACACTCCTAGTATATTTGTTTGCAGTGTTTTAAGAGAAATACATATTGCTGTGGTGAAGCTCTAAATAGATTCGACAAAATATCTAAAAATTAAAAGTTGTTTAAAAAAAAGCAAAGAAATATCACCAAAGAAAAAAGATTAATCGTAGCTTAAATATAAAACTAAATCATTAGTTAATTAAAGTATACAGATCTAATACAAACCAAAACCAGCCTGAAAGACCCAATCTTAAAAAATGCTAAAAAATAATGCATAAATCTGCATAATATTGAGTTTTATTTCCATTCTCTCCTTTCCCTCTACTATTTATGCTTTACCTGATCTGCCTCTAGAGGCTTACAAGAAAATGGTTTCCGGTTTCCGTCTTCAATTTGACCTCAAATGTCCCGAGCAAAGTTTTTGCTATTCTGCTGAGGGTTCTTTTGTTGGTAAGCTTTAGATATCGTTATTTCTGCTAATTCAGTAGTTTTGATGGTAGTGACAAATTTAAATTCTTCCACTGGTTCTTCTGGAAAGAATTAAACTTTTACAGTGTCTTGCCTCCATAGTATTATTTTTTTAAAAAAGAAAACCCAAGCAAAATCTATTGCTTAAAGAGGTTTCTTATTTTTTAAATAGAGTAACTCTTGACAATTTTAAAACCTTGGGAGAAATAGTTCATTAGAACTTCATTATCTTACCATGAAGAATTAAATACTAAAAACCTGTTCTGAAGCACTTGGTTACTTTTCTCTCCCAGAGTCTAATAAAGCACATGTGAAAGGATCATTTGTTTTAGTCAGAAATACATTTTATGTTCTGCTACTTATAAGTACTCGTATGTTCTTTAGGACTCATTTTGAAGATGCACCAGGAGGCTTTTCTCATTCAAGCACTGCCTACCATGATCGCTGAATTCTGACCTCAAAGAAGATCTAAGTAATTTATATCAGTGCTCAAGAATAATTTTGGATATCTTGGCCACAGCCTACAGCAAGTGGTATCTGTAAAATTAAAGGATAATTCCAGTGGGCTTGGTCGGACTGCTGTTTTGCCATCTCTTGTTTGTTTTGAGGAAGTCGGGGGAGGCTAGGTAAGAACAGGGAAATAGGGAACGGGGTAAGGGAGAGGTGAGAAAAGCAAGGAGAGATAAAGTAGGCTGTGAACATACTGCTCGTTAACCAAGCCATACTTATACTGTTGAGATTTCCATCATTTTGAAGTACATTATCATAACATTTAAAAAGAAAAAAATGTTAAGAAAATGTATCTACAAAGAAAAAAAAAATAAAGAAGTCATCCACCATGGACACTGAGTCTGATAACCACATACTTTCCTCAGCATAAATCTCCCAGTAGAGTTGCTTTTAGAAAATAGAAGTCATCTCAGCACAGTGGCTCATGCTGTAATCCCAGCACTTTGGGAAGCCAAGGTGGGAGAATTGCTTGAGCCCTGGAGTTGGAAACCACCCTGGGCAATGTAGTGAGACCCCATCTCTATATACAATTTTAAAAAGTAGCTGGGCATGGTGGCATGCACATTTGGTCCCAACTACTTGGGAGGCTGAGGTGGGAGGATGGATGGAGCCCAGATGGTGGAGGCTGCAGTGAGTCATGATCACACCACTGCACTCCAGCCCCAGCAGCAGAGTGAGACCCTGTCTCAAAGAAAAAAAAAAAAAAAAAAGGAAAAAGAAAGAAAATAGAAGTCAAGAATGGAGGCCCAAATGACTGTTCAGAGTTTCTTTGGTCTGTAGTTATTTTTGTATTGTTTCACAGCCTTTCTCAAAAAACAAACAAACAAAAAAACCCAACAAACAAACAAAAAAACCACCACCACCACCACCACCACCACAACAATAAAACAGGTTTTAAGTGACCTAATAGGTATTCTGTGTCTCTGGTTCTCTTTCAGAGACTAAAAGACTAGGAGCCTGGCTTCTAGTTTTCAAAAGAGCTAAGTGACTGACCTAGGCCAATGACTCGCAATCCTCGTTTTACAGTTGAACCACCTGAGGAGCTTTTTCAAAATACACATGTCTGGTTTCCAGACCCAGAGGTTCTGATTGGGTAAGTCTTGCCTCAGAGATGGGAATGTGTTATTTTTAAAAGCTCCACAGGTAATTCTAGAAGGCAATGCCAGTTAAAAGCCCCCAAACCAGACCCCATTCAGCAGATGCTATTGTAGGTTAATACTGTGTGAGAACCCTAGAAAAAATTATATTTGTACTTTATATAAGCATATACAGAAAGTGTGGTACAATGAAAAACATGGTTATAGTAATGCCAAATTGCCTTCCAATTAATTTATCAAGGTATTAATTAATTGAATTAATTTCTGGTCAAGATATACTATCACCGCTATTATTTTTCTTTTCTAAAAGTGGAAAATAAGATACTCTAGTACTATGTTTCAATAATAAAAATAATCAATATTGATTGGGTACCACTATGTCAGAGACTGCTAAGTATGTTACATAGAATTATCTTACTCTGTTTTCTTGTTTATTTTTTTTTTTTTTTGAGACAGAATCTTGCTTTGTCACCCAGGCTGGAGTGTAGTGGCACAATCTTGGCTCACTGCAATCTCTGCCTCCCAGGTTCAAGCAATTCTCCCTCCTCAGCCTCCCAAGTAGCTGGGATTACAGGAGCCTACCACTGTGCCCAGCTAATTTTTGTATTTTTAGTAGAGACGGGGTTTCACCATGTTGGCCATGCTAGTCTCGAACTTCTGACCTCTCAGGTGATCTGCCTGCCGTGGACTCTCAAAGTGCTGGGATTATAGGCATGAGCCACTGTGCCCGGCCACAAGCTAGACTTTCTATGAAGAGGAACAGAAGGTAACTTTATTATTTCTTTCTCACCCCTCTCCAAGTAAATTTGCTTTGTGGATTATTCCCCACCTTCCACCATATCTCTGGATGGAATTTCAAGCAGATCATAGGATTTCCAGTCACCATCTGATATTATCCATTCTAGCCCGTTCTATTTGTTAAAACTATATAAACTTTCTTCTAATTCAAAATGTCTGTTCTCTTCCAGCTGGGGCTCAGGAGCCTGCAGTGGGGAGAAGGATGCAGTTCACTTCACCTTCTCCTCTATTCACTAGTAATCGTTGCTTGTGGTCCCTTGGGATGGTGGGAATAGTTAGGGAGAACAAGGATCATCCTTAAACAGCGACTGCTGGCCGGGCACAGTGACTCACACATATATTCCTAGCACTTTCGGAGGCCTAGGCGGGTGGATCATTTGAGGCCAGGAGTTTGAGACCATCCTGGCCAACATGACAAAACCCTAGCTCTACTAAAAATACAAAAAATACTAAAAAAGTCAGGCATGGTGGTGCGTGCCTACAGTTCCAGCTGCTCAGGAGGCTGAGGCATGAAAATCACTTGAACCTGGGAGGCAGAGGCTGCAGTGAGCCGAGATCGCGACACTGCACTCCAGCCTAGGTCACAGAGCAAGACCCTGTCTCAAAAAAAAAAAAAAAAAAAATTAAAAAAACAATAAACAGCTGCTGCCTTGCGATCAGGCAGCTGGGTACTGTGTATACTGTGTATCCAGTATTGGCTCTTTCTCTCTAGAGGGAATGTAGTAGATTTTGAGACACTGTTCATCACCTGGGATCTCCCTTCTGCAGTTTCCTTGATGGTTGTTCAGATACCTCCTCCAGAGTGCCACTTGCAGTTTCACCCTCAGAGTTTGTGTTCCGGGGAGAATTACCCTTTTATTGAGATCACTTCCGTCCTTCAGGTGGGCCTGTGGTACAGGGTCCCTTTTAAACCTACTCATGTCCAGGGCCTTCTCCAGGATCTGTATGGCTCACAGTATAAACAACTATCCCTCCAGTGGGATAATCTGCAAGTGCGAGCAGTTCGCAGTGCCGCGGTGCTTCCTTCTCTCCCAGCAAGCAGGCCAAACCGGTGTTTACTCTTTGGAATCAGATGTTAAACCATTCCCCAAATTCCAGGGGACTCATGTCAAGCTCTACGAATGGTCCTGTTGAAGCCATTCTCTGGGCTTGACTTGCAGGAAACGCCACAGCTCACTAGGACCTCTTTCCAATGGCCTCTGCAGCATCCCAGTGGAATCTCAGATTGGAAGTGTCTGGCCCAGCCCCTCAACTTGGAATGTAGGAGTGCCTGACACCTATTTTGTTTTTGGCATTTGGAGTATCTGATGAAAACCAAAATGCTCAAATTTAATATACGATTTTTTTGAAGGGCAGAGGGAGAACAGGCATAGAGGTTAGCTCACTATTATGATGTTCCTGATGTCATTTCATTTTTTTTTTTGAGGCAGAGTCTCGCTCTGTTGCCCAGGCTGGAGTGCAGGGGTGCGATCTCAGCTCACTGCAAGCTCCGCCTCCTGGATTCACGCCACTCTCCTGCCTCAGCCTCCTAAGTAGCTGGGACTACTACAGGCGCCCGTCCCTCGCCTGGCTGATTTTTTTTGTATTTTTAGTAGAGACGGGGTATCACCGTGTTAGCCAGAATAGTCTCGATCTCCTGACCTCGTGATCCGCCCGCCTCGGCCTCCCAAAGTGCTGGGATTACACGCATGTGTCACCACGCCTGGCCTTTGAAATCATTTCTTTATGGTCTAACATGTTAGAATGTATCATTAGTTATTATAAATCAGAATAAATACGCCTTTTGAAGTATGAGATGATGACTGGGCATGGTGGCTCATGCCTGTAATATCAGCACTCTGGGAGGCTGAGGCAGGCTGATCACCTGAGGTCAGGAGTTCGAGACCAGCCTGGCCAACATGGTGAAACCCCGTCTCTACTAAAAATGCAAAAGAAAAAAAAATTAGCGAGGCGTGGTGGCGCATGCATGTGATTCCAGCTACTCGGGAGGCTGAGGCAGGAGAATTGCTTGAACCTGGGAGGCGGAGGTTGCAGTGAGCCACGATCGCACCACTGCACTCCAGCCTGGGCAACAGAGCAAGATTCCATTTCAAAAAAAAAAAAAAAAAAAAAAAGAATTATGAGATGAATGAATAAATTTAGATGAATGAAGACATGTATATATTTACAGCCTGCCAAATAACAACTTGTAACATTTGGGTGAATTTCTTTATTTTTCATGAATGTGTTAATTTTTTAATTCAGTAAGCAACATGTGCAAAACAGTATTCTGGACTCTTCTGGACCCCAGACACATACAGAAACGATCTTGGAGGAAAAAAACAGGTAGCAGGAAATCAACATTTAGCAAACACTTCCTCCTCTGTGTTAGGCCCTAAATAAGAATTTCAATGCACAGTCAAGCTATCCATATGAAGTCTCTTATGTTTTAAAAAATACGGTAAATACTTTTTTGGTGAATTCCTTTTCACTAGAGATAAGATTGGACTACATGTTTGACTTTATAAGTGCCATAATCATAATATGAAATAGTTTCCCATGTTTTTAAAATATCTTGGTAAATAATTTTAAAGATTGCAAAGGACTCCTGTAATTGTATATCCCATAATTATTTAACCTTCTAACAATGCACATTTACTCTTTAACCATTTTATGTATTTCTTATTTTCTTCCTTAGGGTAAATCCATGGATGTAGAATTACTGAGTGAAATAACAGTTATAAAGCTCTTGATACTTACTGCAAAATTGCTTTCAGTAGGGTTTCAGCATTTTACATTTCCACTACCATTCTATGAAAGTGCCATTTCCGGCCAGGCTCACACCTGTAATCCAAGCACTTTGGGAGGCCAAGGTGGGCAGATCACCTGAAGTCAGGAGTTCGAGACAAGCCTGGCCAACATTATAAAACCCCGTCTCTACTAAAAATACAAGAATTAGCCAGGCATGGTGGCGCACGCCTGTAATCCCAGCTACTTGGGAGGCTGAGGCAGGAGAATTGCTTGAACCTGGGAGGCAGAGATTGCAGTGAGCCGAGATTGCACCACTGCACTCCAGCCTGGGTGACAAAGTGAGAGTCTGTCTCAAGAAAAAAAAAGAAAAAAAAAGGGCCATTTTTGATGATGGGGGGCAAAAACCCTTTGCTATTTTGGTAGATTAAAAAGGGTATCTAGCCATTTTAACTTGTATTTATTTGATTACGAAGTGAGGTTCAACTCTTCTTTGAAAGGTGCTTGTAGTTCTTGTTACATAATAATATTTTAACAAGAAAAATAGAACGGTTTTTCCTTAGGGATAAATAAATAAAATAGTATCTCTTTGAGGCCAACATTCATGTTCATTGTTAACTTTTTACAACCTGGAGTTTTCCATTCAGAATATACGGCTTATTCTCTTAGTTCAGAAATTAGATTCTTGCTGCTTGTTTACCCCAGTTGGCTCTGCAGCCCTGAGAAAGGTTTTTCAGTTCTTGCAAACACTTATATGTAGAGTAGATTTTATTACCATGTAGAAACAGAATAGAAGTTCTTGACAAGTGGAAGTCCTCTGTGATAGGGCAGCCTCGAGTGACCAAAACAGGTAAATTGTGAAGATTTTCAAGTATCAGAAGTAACATTTTTTCCTAAGGCAGGAAACAGTATACTCACAAAGAGATTTTTACATCTGCCTGGGTCTTGGTAGAATCATTAATGGAATGCGAATTAAATTAAGAAAACTTTCTTAAAAGACTTTTGTCTTTTAAATAGGTAAAATGAGCTGAGAATACAGATAAAGGTGCGTGAATGAGAACAAGTTATGATGACCCCAGGAAAACCCTTCTCCGGGTTACCTGGCCGTCAGCTGTGACCCCTCTGAAGGAGGAGGAAACAAGCACTGCTGTTGAGTGAGCCTGCTCTTCCAAGATGCCAACTCATCTTTATTTTTCTTTCCTAAGTATCTTACACATTTACAGGATCATATAAATTTATTTTCCAAAACAAAATATTTTTGTTGTTTTGCCCATTTCAAAACAAACACGTTTATTTTTAAGTTAATAATGTTGTTAAAAACTCAGTTTATAAAATTGAAAGTTGCTAGGAGTGGTGGCTCATGCCTGTAATCCAATTATATATATACATATAGATATAATCTCTTCTATAATTGGTTTCCATTGTCATATATGCCTATTTTAAATTGTATTTTATTTTATTTTTTAAGAGATGGGTCTCACCATGTTGCCCAGGCTGGCCTTGAGCACCCGTGCTCAAGTGATCCTCCTGCCTCAGCCTCCCAAGTAGCTGAGACTACAGGTGTGCCACTGCGCTGGACTAACATATGCCTATTTGTCTATGTTTATACGTATAAACTTACTCATCCATTAATATTAGTGCATAGAATTCTATTATATAGATGTGCCTTAATATGTTTAAGAAATCCTCCTTCTGATGGACTTTTAAGTCTCTACATTTTTACTATTACAAGCAATACAGCAATGAACATGAATTTCATGTATTTGTCCCACTTTGGTATTTGTTCCCTTGGAAAAAATTCCAAGATCTGGAATTTGAAGATTAAAGAATGAATAATTTTGTCTGGGCACTGTGGCTCACACCTGTAATTCCAGCACTTTGGGAGGCTGAGGCTGGTGGTTCACCTGAGGTCAGGAATTTAAGACTAGCCTGGCCAACATGGTGAAACCCTGTCTCCATTAAAAATACACACACACACATAAATTAGCTTGGCATTGTAGCAGGCACATGTAATTCCAGCTACTAAGGAGGCTGAGGCAGAAGAATTGCTTGAATCCGGGAGACAGAGGTTGCAGTGAGCCAAGATCGCACCACTGCACTTTAGCCTGGGCGACAGAGCAGGACTCCATCTAAAAAAAAAAAAAAAAAAGAATGACCTTTTAATTATAATATGTATTGCCATATAGCCTTCAACACTGTGGGACTAATTTATGCTTCTAACCGAAGTATATGATAATGCCCATTTCCCCACAATCTCACCAATGTTCTAATGGGCTGTCTGTCCTTTGCTTACCTTCTCATAGGCGCTGCTTGTTTTTTCTGATCTTCAGTACCTTGTCATTTAGATGTTTTGCAAATATCCTTTCTCATGGTCTTTTTATTCTGTTGGGCCTTTTGATAAACAGAAGTTTATGAATTTAGTCAATTTTATTCATTTATTTGTATTAAAGTTATATTCTTTTACAGTATCTTCTAAGAGTTTTAGAATTTTTTTTTGACATTTAAGTTTTCATTCTACCTAGAGCTTTTTTTTGTAAGAGAGAGGTTTCCAACTTTACCTTTTCCATCTGGATGCCCAGTTATCCCAGAGCTATTTCTTGAGACTTTCAGTCTTCATTGATGTGCCCTGTCTTTACTTATATGTATGGACCTGTTTCTTAACACTCTATTCTTTTCCATCGGCCTGTTTATCCTTGGGCTAACACAACACTCTATTAATAGCAGCAACTTTATAATCATTGTTATCTGATAAAGCATGTCCTCTTATCTTGTGCAATAGGATTGCCTTTTCCTACACCTTTTTATTCTATGCATTGTCCTGTGTTCAAAAACAAAAAATAAAGCTGTTGAGATTTTTATTGGATTGACCATGTGAACCAATCTGGAGAATATTGACATATTTCCATCACATTTTTTTTCTTTTCCCTTAAGGTCAGGAAAGCATCACATATTTCTATTATTGAGTCTTCTAAATGTTAAAATGATCTGTCTCCATTTATTTAGATCTCCTTTAATATACCTATAATTTTTTAAGAGGTTTTACACACTGTTGTTAGATTAATTTCCAGCTGCTTCTACTTTGAGATGCTATTATAAATGACTTTTTTAGAGAGATGGGGTCTCACTATGTTGCCTAGGCTGGTGTCAAACTCCTGGGCTCAAGCGATTCGCCTGTGTCAGTCTCCCAAAGTGCTGGAATTACAGGCCTGAGCCACCGCACCAACTTTTTTTTTTTTTTGAGATGGAGTCTAGCTCTGTCTCCCAGACTGGAGTTCAGTGGCGTGATCTTGGCTCACTTTTTTTCATTTTCTAATTGTTTGATGGTAGTTTTTATGAATATAGTCCATTTTTTATATTGACCTTATACCCAGCAACCTTGCTAAATAAATTTATTAATTCTAATAGTTTGTAGATTATTTTCAGTTTTTCAGGTATAAAACTGTCCAGAAATACAGTTTTATTTCTTTCTTTCAATTGCGTATAACTTTAATTTATGTTTCTTCCCTTATTCTATTGCCTAGAACTTCCAGCAGTGCTGACTAGAAGTGTGCCCTGTTCTTGACCTCAAAGGAGAACTTTCAACATTTTGCGTCATGTTTATTCTAGAGTTTTGTAGATCTCCTCTATCAAAATTGGGAAGTTCCATTGTATTTCTAACTTTGTGAGAACATTTATTAAAAATGGATGTTAGGTGTGGACGCAGGTGGCTCACACCTGTAATCCCAGCACTTTGGGAGGCTGAGGCAGGAGAATCAGTTGAAGCCAGGAGTTCAAGACCAGCCTGGACAACAAAGCAAGACACTGTCCCTACAAAAAAAGAAAAGAAAAAAAAAAAGAAACCTAGCCAGGCATGGTGGTGCATGCCTGTGATGATCCCAGCTACTTGGGAGGCTGAGGTGGGAGGATAACTTTAGCCCAGGAATTTGAGTCTGCAGTGAGCTGTAATTGTACCAGTGTACTCCACTGTAGGTGATAGAGTGAGAACCCCATCTCTGAGGGGGTGGAAAAAGAACAGATAGTGGAATTTATCAAATGCCACTTCTGCATTTATTAAGATATTCATGTGATCTTTCTCCTTTAATCTGTTAATGTAGAAAATTATACTGTTTTTACATATATTGTTTTTAAAATTATAAATAAAAGTCATCCAAATAAGACTTATTTATATACAGATGAGACTGTGGCAAGCCATTCACTTCCATTGGGTCATTTTTTTTTTTTTTTTTTGCACTTCGTTTTAAGCAATTGAATTTCAATGACAATATAAGCAGGTGTTTATCATGAGTGTGTGCCAGGCTCCTTTCTGAGCACTTTGTGTGTATTATCCCATAAATTATCTCAACACTCAATGAGCTAGCTACTGCCATTCTTGTTTTTCAGCTGAGAAAACTGATTCGGAGAGATACTGAGTGATTTGCCCAGGTCACAGCTGGTAGGTAGCCACGCTAGGATTTACATCTGGTCTATCTTCAAAACATTTGATCTGAAGCCATACCAGTACGTTTTACTCCATCCACCCATCAGAATCACATGAGAAACAGTCTTATAATACTGTGCCCCAGAGAGTAGCCAGCCAGACTGGTTCTCAGGAATAGTGTACCATCCAAAATACATTTATTAGAAAAGAAGAAAGAAGAAAAATAAACAAACCATCCAAGATAAGAAGCCAGAGAAAAGCAGCAAAATAAACCCAATGAAAGTAATGGAAGGTATAAATTTTAAAAAATGATATAGAAGACAATAATTCCCATGAAACTGTAAGATTAACATTCTGGTGTTTAAATTTTGTTTTTTCTTTTTTAGGCATAAAGGCATCACAAGTGGTCATGCTCAGCTACTCTGGTTCCTACAGACTTTCCTCTTTGGGATAGCATCTCTCACCATCTTGACTGCTTACCAACAGAAGCATCAAAACCAAACTTGAGGATGTCCACAAGCTTGCTCTACACATCCTCATCTTTTTTGTGTGTGTTTGTGGGGGTAAGGGAGGTGCAGTATTTACTCAGTGATCTTTTCTACTTTCTAGAAAGTGTCTGTCCTTCAAAACTATTTAAGAGCCTCTCATTAGTCATTTTTTCCCTTAAATGCTCTGGTTGAGCTTGAATAGACCAGTTGTTGCTTAAGAAAGAAACTGAGAAAGATTTTAGCTTTTCAGTCCTATTTGGCAGAGAACTTCAGCTACCTTCTTATGGACTTTGGCTGTGCTGGTGCCCTCGTGTGCTCTGGGCTAAGCCACATACTAAATTGACTTTTTGGTTTGTATACCCTTGCTCTCGCCTTCTGATGAAAACACCTTACGCTCACCACCACCATCTTTGCTCTCCTTTCCCAAAGCTCTTTCCGCCTTGCTGCACCAGATAAAGTGACACCTCCACCATACGTCAATTCCACACACATTTATTAGGTACCTGTGAGGCAGGATCTTGTCCTCTTAAACTTCCACTTCTCACGCTAGAGAGAAAGATAAGGAAGATGAGCAAGTGCCTGGAATGGGTCAAGCTGAGCGCTCACACAGGCACACTGAGAACCCACAGGGGAGACTGCAGAGTGCCTTCCCTGATGCTGCAGCTGGAAGCGATCCTTCCCTCCACCTGGCCCTTGGGACACTCTGCTCTGCAGTGTGCAGTCTGATGGCGCTGCTAGATTGCTTTTTCTGCTCAGGGCCACAGCTTAAACAGCTTTACCTTTCCCCTCAGCACCTGTCCCACTACCTTGCACACAGGTACTCTATCCATGTTTATTGAACAAAGGAGGGAAACTGATTTCACTTTCACTTGTTCATTATCATTCCAATTTTTATATGAAAATGGCACAACCCATGTGGGGTACACTCATCTCAAAAGAAAAGCCCAAGACTACCTTTGACTGGTACCACCTTTTTTTGTGGGTTCCTTGGTAAGAAACCTTTATCTTTTTCATACTTTTCTATTCTCCATCACTTCTCCAAAAGTGTCTCTTTCCAGCTCTGATTTATTCAAAACACATAAACATTCCTGTTTAGAGATTCTAGCCCATGGATTATCCAGCTAGTTAGTACCTCTCCTTCTCACTTGGTTATATTTTATTATTGCTCAGAGGTTGGGGAGGCAGAATGACTGTGTCCCCTCATCCTGGCAGAATGACTGTGTCACCACTAGGAGCCATGAGGGCTTCTTCCCAGGAGGACTGCCTGCTTGCTCTCTGGGGACTAGCCCTCATTTCCCTTCCGTGGTCCAGTGGGGCAAGTGATTTGTATTAGACAAACATTTATAAGAAACAACCCCCTCCCCAAAAGAGAGCCACCAAGTAAAGCACAAGCCTGAAAGATTATGAACTATGAATTGTCTCTAGTGGACATAAATTTCTGCAAATATATCTCAGTCTTTCCCTCTTTTCTCTGGTGATTAAGAAGTTGGTTTTTGGTAAGGAAAGGGATTTTTGACCATAGAGTTAGGCATCATGGAAATTCAAACCCGATTTCTTAATACCTGGTCTTCTCCGAAGAGAAATAATGATAGTAATAGTGGTGCTGGGAACAATATGGAAGATTATTGAATGAAATGGATTAACTTTAATAAAATGCTGTGAATTATCTCTAGCTGAATGCTTTTCTTGTATTTGTCAGTTTTGATATATTGATGCACATTTGATTCTTTTTCTCAAATAGACTTTACTAGGGAACTGTTTATACACTTCAGATCTCAGTTTGTTTTTCAGATAAAGAAATGCAAAGCACTGTGGTTGTCAGGTATATATGTATTATATTTGTAGACCTGTTCATGCCCCACTTACCTCCTCCACGTACAGTGAATCACTAGGGTAGACATGAGTGTCTCCTTTTCATTGTAGGATTGTCTCCTTTTTGTTTCTGTTTTTATTCAACATTTGATAAAGTCTATGCACTAAGTATGGAGTGTTCTGGCATTTTTTTAATGCACAAAGTCCAGGATGCATCACTTAACAACGGGGATGCATTCTGAGAAATGCATTATTAGGTGAGTGCATCACTGTGCAGATCTCATAGGGTGTACTCACAAACCTACATGGCAGAGCTGACTACGCACTGAGGCTATATGGTACAGTCTGTTGCCCGTAGGCTACAAACCCAAACAGCATATAGAGTAGTACTGAATACTGAAGGTAACTGTAACACAATGGTAAGTATTTGTGTACCTAGCTTTTCTTTAGGATGGGATTAAAAAAAAAAAAAAAGCCAAACAGGCTGGGTACAGTGGCTCACGCCTTTAATCCCAGTACTTTGGGAGGCCGAGGTGGGCGGATCACCTGAGGTCAGGAGTTCAAGACCAGCCTGGCCAACATGGTGAAGCCCTGTCTCTACTAAAAATACAAAAATTAGCTAGGCATGGTGGCAGGTGCCTGTAATCCCAGCTACTTGGGAGACTGAGGCAGGAGAATGGCTTGAACCCGGAAGGTGGAGCTTGCAGTGAGCCAGGATTGGGCCACTTCACTCCAGCCTGTTCAACAGAGCGAGACTCTCTCAAAAAACAAAACAAGCAAAAAATAGCCAAACATAGAAAAGGTACAGTAAAAATGTGGTGTTCTAATCCTATAGAACCAGGGTCATACGTGCTGTGTGTCATTGATCAAAACGTCAATATGCAGGCATGCCTGTATAAAATCCTGTCATCTTATTTGGGGTATTATCATGGCTTAGTTGCAAAGGGGGATCTAGTGAGCAAATGGTGCAGATCATTCCATTCATAGAACCATAAACATCTCAGCGAGGTAAAGTAACTTGCCCAGTATCACACAGACAGACATGATTCTGGGCGTCGTGTTGCCCACCTCCCCCATTATCCAGGAGTTTAGTAGTAAGTCTGTGAAGCAACAAATTTAAAAATAGACATCCTGGCTTTGTGTGGTAGTCATGGTGGTGATATGGGAGAAACAGCTTTATGTTGATTTTGGATGAGAAAAGGCCAGAGCCATCTTGGTGGAAGCAACCATGGAAAAAAACCAGGCTAAACTGTTTTCTTACCCACCCCTTAGATTTGCAAGGCACATATAGTTTGGAAAAATAAAAAAGTAAGGACAAAACAAAAAACAAAAAAACAAAAACAAAGCAAAACAAAACAAAAAAAAAAACAGACTAATGACCTCAGAACTTAATAGCAGGCCCAATTTATAAACTAACAGTGTTTCCTACATTCAACATGTTTATGATTCCACGCAGTCTAAACATGCTTTAAAGCCACGGTGTTAACATAAGCCTGGGTTAGGTTTAAGAGGTTATATTCCAGATGTGTAAAGAGGCTTTTTAGAAAAACAACTTGCAATCTCAGAAAGCCCTTATATCTTTACACTGAGGGTCTGAGAACACGAAAGAGAAGTCAAAGAACCTGCAACTGAGGTCAGAGAGCACAGTGCAATCACATTTTTATCTTGCTAGGGCCCTTTCTGGAGTCTCATTAATTAAAGCTCTTAGTTTAGCAACCTGGGTTGTGAATATTTTTCCTTCCCTTTCTTGTCAGCACAGTGAAAAAAATGCTAGTAGGGTAGCTGAGTAACACACTTTAAGACAATGGAAACATTCTCTCTGTGAGGATCCTTGTCCACAACAAGTTGTGAATTATGTTTCCATTTTCATCCACGCTGGACAATAGGAGTCTTTAATGTTCACATTTCTCTTCTTGGAGAGGAGATTTGTGCTCTGATTCCACAGTAAGCGTTTGAAAATCCTACTCAAAATACTGTATTTGCTACTTCTGCGAAGCATTTTAAGATGGCTTCTAAGCTTTTATAAAGGATTAAGTACATCAATTGCCTCATTTCTATTTGTAGTAAGTCATTATGTTGGATTAAGGGAAATACTTCTGGTATACAATGAATACTGTTCAGTTACATAGGTGTGGGAAATGGAAAAGTAATTTTTAAAAGTAAGAAAGAAACAAAAATGCTGTTCAGGGAAATATTCATGAATGAACATTTACTTACTTTTTCCTTGTATTCATACATTGCACAGGATTAAATTGAAGAAATCTTAACATTGTTATAAATGAGAGGAATGGCATCTATAATGTAAGGTAAGGAAGAGTTACCTAAATCTCAAGCACATAGGGGTCACCTCCACAACTTTAATCATGTCTACAATACATCTGAATTTATTATTTATGATTACAAGTATTTTGGTTTTTTTTTTTGTTTGTTTGTTTGTCTGTTTTGAGACTGAGTCTCACTCTGTTTCCTAGGCTAGAGTGCAGTGGTGCAATCTTGGCTCACTGCAATCTCCACCTCCCAGGTTCAAGCGATTCTCCTGCTTCAGCCTCCCAAGTAGCTGGGATTACAGGCGCCCACCACCATGCCCGGCTAATTTTTATATTTTTAGTAGAGATGGGTTTTCACTATGTTGGCCAGGCTGGTCTCAAACTCCTGACCTCAAATGATCTGCCGGCCTCAGCCTCCCAAAGTGCTGGGATTACAGGCATGAGCCACTGCACCTGGCCAGAAATTCACTTTTAAAAAAAAATTCCTAAACAAGGATAACTATGAAATTCCAGACTTGGTTTGTTCATTATATTTTTTCTAATACATATGAAAAGAAAGGATAATTATTACCTAAAATCACCATGCATACTGGTGATACATTTGACACGCTTAAAAATCAGAAAGTATTACCCTACTAGTTGAGATTGAAGATGGGATTTAACCTGGCTCTAGCCACAGGATTTTAGACAAGTTTGTCACCTTTCCGGACCTTGGTTTCATCATTAAAATAATTGAAATACCACCCCAAACCTGTTAGAACTAATAGACAAATTCAGTAAAGTTGCAAGATGCAAAGTCAAAATGCAAAAATCAGTAGCATTTTTCATACACTAACAACAAGTTATCAAAAAAAAAAAAAAAGAAAAGAAAGCAAGCAAGCAATCCCATTTATAGTAGTTAAAAAGAAGTTAAATACCTAGGAGTACATTTAACCAAGGAAGTGAAAGATCTCTACACTGAAAACTCTGAAACATTGATGAAAGGAACTGAAGATGCAAATAAATGGGAAGTCATGCCATGTTCATGTATTGAAAGATTTAACATTGTTTAAATATCCATACTACCCAAAGCAATCTACAGATTCAACGCCATCCCCATCATAATTCCAATGATAGAGCAGGGCACAGTGGCTCACGCCTGTAATCCCAGCATTTTGGGAGGCCAAGGCGGGTGGATCAACTGAGGTCAGGAGTTCGGGACCAGTCTGACCGACATGGAGAAACCCCGTCTCTACTAAAAATACAAAATCAGCCAAGCGCGGTGGCCCATGCCTGTAATCCCAGCTACTCAGGAGGCTGAGGCAGGAGAATCGCTTGAACCCAGGAGGCAGAGGTTGTGGTGAGCCGAGATGGTGCCATTGCACTCCAGCCTGGGCAACAAGAGCGAAACTCCATCTCAAAATAATAATAGTAATAATTCCAACGATATTTTTTCTCAGAAATTAAAAAAAGATCCTAAAATTTGTATGGCACTTTGGGAAGTCGGGGGAGGCGGATCACTTGAGGTCAGGAGTTTGAGACCAACCTGGCCAACATGGTGAAACCCTGTCTGTACTAAAAATACAAAAATTAGCCAGGCATGGTGGTGCCTGCTTGTAATCCCAGCTCCTTGGGAGGCTGAGGCAGGAGAATCACTTGAACCCTGGAGGTGGAGGGAGAGAAAGAAAAGAAAAAGAAGAGAAGAGAAAAGAAGAGAAGAGAAGAGAGGAGGGAAGGAGGAAGGGTGGAGGGAGGGAAGGAAAGAAGGAGAAAGAAAAAAGAAAGAAAGAAGAAAGAAAGAAAAGAAAGAAAGAGAGAAAGAGACAGAGAAAGAGAAAGGAGGGAAGGAGGAAGGAAGGAAAGAAGGAAGGAAGGAAGGGAGGGAGGGAGGGAAAATAAAGCAGAGAAAGAAAGAAACTTTGTAAACTATAACACGTAAAGCACGAGTACAGTTTTCCTGGAAGGTTTGTGATTGCCCACATTGCAGCCTGTGCTCCTCAAACTTGACCACATGGATGGATAGACCACTTTGAGTAGCAAAATAGAGAAAATTTAGAACTAGAAATCACATAGTTCAGCCTTGATTTCTGAGGCTTAGCGTTGGTTTCTATATGTACCAACACCGTCAATAAGAAAAACTGCTAGGCACTGTTCCTGGGAGGTTAGTAGTTAATGTCAATAGTGTTTGGAGTCATAACACAATCCGGCAAAGAGCGTTGTTCCAGGGCTGAAAATGCTGATGGAATCAGCCAACTGACCTATCCACACACTCCTCCCTCCCGGAGAAGAAAAATTAGGCATTAGGTCTTTTCAAAGTAAAAAAAACTCAATACTTTTCAAATATTTATTTTGTTCTGTAAACTGATATAAAATATCCAAAATCCACAACTGCTGTTTGAGGTGACCATTATCCCCATTTTATAGTTGAAGATACTATAAAATATTATAAACATGAAGATACTGGCTGGGCACAGTGGCTCACATCTGTAATCCCAGCACTTCAGGAAGCTGAGGCAGGAGGATGGCTTGAGCCCAGGAGTTCAAGAACAGCCTGGGGCAACATGGCCAGACCCAGTCTCTACAAAAAATTAGCCAGGCGTGGTGGCACATGTCTGTGATCTCCGCTACTGGGGAGGCTGAAGTGGGAGGATCACCTGAGCACAGAGATGTCCAGGCTGCAGTGAGCCGTGATTATGCCACTGCTCTCCAGCATGGGCCACAGAGTGACATCCTGTTTAAAAAAAAAAAAGGAAAAGAAAAAGACAATAACACACCACCTCATTCATTCATTCTATATAAATACATAAATAAGATACTACATGGTAGAGAATCCCTGCCAAGATGTTCAAAATCAACCCTAAACAGACAGTGGAAGGACAGGAGAGAGACACATGGATTCCTAACACCAAGCAGGGAAATTAGGGAATTTCTCACTACCCTCTCTGAGACTGAAGACTACTGAAATTAGTGTGGGGGTGGAGCCTGGGCATCATGAAGAACTGGTTGGGCAGCCTTTACATTCTGCTCTTGTTCCCTCAAGTTGCCTTCAGAGAGACAGTCATCAGCCTGACTCCTTCAGCATGACAGTTAACAGTGCCCGGAGCATTGTCCACTCATATCAGCAACACAGACTCTGCGGGGGCATGGGAGAGAATTCACAAAAATAGACACAGACAGCCCTCAGGTAGTTCCTTCATGGTACTTCCAACCAAATTGCCAGGACTGTAGATTATCTTATTTCCTCCTAAGGGTTCAAAAGTGAAAACTCCAGCCAAAGGAGTGACTAGTGGATTGGCCTCAGACAGGGATTCACTAAGGGGTCTGTGATCCCTGGATTCTCAGTCCTCACATGGCCGGGACCAACACAGATGAGGCTGGCCTTGGCCCCTCCCAGTATGTAAGACCAAACATTTTCCCAAAGGAAAATGAGCCCACAGCCAAATAACTGGACAGTTGAGGAGGAAAAGTCTACACAAGCAGCACGTATCATCTGATCACACATGTTGAAGCAGAAGGTCCCAAAATCTAATAATGCTCCTTAAATAGGAGACAAGAGAAAATGTTAGCAATATGCAGCAAGAACAAGATATCATAAAAAAAACTAAGTGAAAATATTAGGTAGGAAAAATAAAATAGTTAAAACAAAGAATTTGATAAATGGAAATTAATCAAATTTGACAAATGAAATAGAATGGATATAGTTGAAGAAAGAATATATGAACACATGATTGTGGCAGTCTCACAATAAGACTAAAACATAAGAAATAGAGAAGAAAAGCTTGGAAATGTGGATGATAAACATAAAAGTGCGAACACCTGAGCAATAAATTCAGCTGGCGTAAGAAGGAAAAATAGAATGGAGGAAATACTTGAACAAATAATGGAGATACATTTCCAAAAAAATGACCTTATTTGAAAAGACTTATAAAGAAGAGCTAACAAGAGATAAGGAAAAATCAATTCCTAGGTACAACTATAAAATTTAAAAATATTAAGTAAAAAAAAAATAAATAAAAATAATGAGGAGACTGGGCACAGTGGCTTATGCCTGTAATCCCAACACTTTGCGAGGCCAAAGCGGGAGGATCACTTGAGGCCAGGAGTTCGAGACAAGCCTGAACAACATTTTGAGACCCTATCTATCTTTACAAAATATTAAAAAAATATTAGCTAGTCATGGTGGCACTTGCCTGTAGTCCTAGCTACTGGGGAGGCTCAGGTAGGAGGATCACTTTAGCCCAGGAGGTCAAGGCTGCAGTGAGCTGTGATCATGCACTGCTGCGCTCCAACCTGGGCCATAGAGTGAGACCCTCTCTCAAAATAATAATAATAATAATAATAATAATAATAATAATAATAATGATAATAAAAGACAAGGAGAAAGCTCTAAAAGCTTCCAGAGAGAGAACAGATCATCTTCAAACTACATAGTAGTTATAAAGTATTAGGAGACAGTAATTTTGAAGGTAGAATTTTATTTATTTATTTATTTATTTATTTATTTATTTATTTTTTGAGACAGAGTCTCGATCTGTTGTCCAGGCTGGAGTGCAGTGATGCAATCTTGGCTCACAGCAACCTCCACCTCCTGGGTTCAAGTGATTCTCATGCCTCAGCCTCCAAGTGGCTGGGATTACAGGCATGCACCACCATGCCTGGTTAACTTTGGTATTTTTAGTAGAGACAGGGTTTTACCATATTGCCCAGGCTGGTCTCGAACCCCTGACCTCAGGTGATCCACCTGCTTCAGCCTCCCAAAGTGCTGGGATTACAGGCGTGAGCCACCATGCCCGGCCTCATTTCACCTCTTGAACTTGGGTTTTCTCATGAGGCAGTTACACTTGATTTATAACGTTCCTCTCAGCTTTAAAATTCCATAAAATTCCAGAAGCACTATCTACTAGTGAAACAATTTACTGGGAGAAGTAGTGAGTCCCCTGTCACTGGAAGCATTCAAGCAGAGTGAGAATAGCCAGTTGTCTGATACGCTGTAGAGAGAATTCCTACATTAGGTAGGAGGTTAATATTTGATTTAAATAATTAAGCCAATAATAAAAAGTAGCACTGAGTATGTAATATGTGCCCAGCACTGCTCTAAGCATTTACACACATCTCATTTGATCTTTTCGGTAACTGCATGGGGAGTGGGTACTATCCCCATTGTGCAGAGGCTACTCAGATCAGGGGCAGCACTAACCAGAGAGCTCACAGCTAGAGAGAGATGGAGATTGGAAATCAGATTGTTGCGGCCCCCAGCAAGTCCTAATCACCACCCAATTCTGTCAGCAGCCTCGGGGTTCTGGGATGGGCATGTCTTCCCACTGGCCTGGGATCTGGGTGCAAGGTGACGTGCCTGCCTCCTACCCCTCTCCAGGGCAGGAAATTGAGCATGGAATGCAGACGGCAGGCTTGCCAACAAGGCCACTTTCCCACGGTCTACAGCAGAAAGAGGCTGCTTTCCGCTGCTTGGGCTGCAAATGCTCTGAGCCCTTCACCGGCAGCCTTATTTTACAGAAGGTGAAAGCTAAAACCTAGAAACGGCAAGCTACCTACCCAACGTCACAGAACAAACAAGTGGCACAGCTGGGAAACATCTGCCTGGAGTCCTCACTTCCAGGCCAGTGCTTGATGTTCTGTTTTTTTTTTTTTTGTTTTTTTTTTTTTGCAAGCTCCGCCTCCCGGGTTCTCGCCATTCTCCTGCCTCAGCCTCCTGAGTAGCTGTGACTACAGGCACCCGCCACCGTGCCCGACTAATTTTTTGTATTTTTAGTAGAGACGGGGTTTCACCGTGGTCTCGATCTCCTGACCTCGTGATCCACCCGCCTCGGCCTTCTGTTTTGTTTTTAACTAAATCACATTACTGCAGTCGCTTACATGTGACAGTCCCTCAGTTTTCTGTTCTGAATATATCTCTTTTTAATCAAGGCCTATGCATCAACTACAGCAAATTGGAGATTCCCAAGAGTGGCAATTATTCAAAACGAAACTCTGCCTATGATATTCTAAAAATTCTAATCTAACCTCACTCCTGTGTCACACGAAACTCATTTCTTGTTGGTCCTGAATCCACACTTCTGCTCCTTTGAGGCAAGTTTCCCCCCTAACATTGACCCCCAATTACATATTAACCTTTGCCCCAGCTGTCACCCAGCAGAATTCCCTCCGCAGTCCTCTCTGCTTATCTGGCCTGCTGGGAACTCACCATCAGACAGCACTGAGAATTCAACAACTGTTTCTTTCTTTTTTTTTTTTTTTTCTCAAGATCTGCTTTTAGGAGAAGCAATCATTTCAACACTGCATTACAAATGAACTTATACCTCAGTCAGAAACAAGCAACCCCATTCCCCACATAAGCTATTATTACTATTATTTTTTGGACACGGAGTTTCACTCTGTTACCCAGGCTGGAGTGTAGTAGTGCCATCTTGACTCACTACAACCTCCACCTCCCAGGTTCAAGTGATTCTCCTGCTTCAGCCTCCCGAGTAGCTGGGATTACAAGGGCCTGCCACCATGCCCGGCTAATTTTTGTATTTTTTAGTAGAGACAGGGTTTCACCATGTTGGCCAGGCTGGTCTCAAACTCCTGACCTCAAGTGATCCACCTACCTTGGCTTCCCAAAGTGTCGGGATTACAGGCATGAGCTACTGCACCTGGCCTTTTTTTTTTTTTTTTTTTTTTTTTATGGGCAATATGTAGTTTCAGATCACATGTTGGTTGGGGATCATCCTCTAAGATGCACATTCATGTTCTGGAGGATGACACAGTTAGAAACAGGTTTTAGAATCCTGTGTGACCTTGGGCAGATCTTTCATCTGTTCTCAGTCACATTTGTAAAACATAGGCAAAGACTGTGGCGACCTCACAAAGAATGTTTGCTGAAAGGAGAAATGAGTGCTTTCTGGGCCAATCCATTCTCACCCTGTCGAAGTGAGACCCCACGTCTCACTTGATCCTCAAGTGTAGTTGAAGATTGTCACCAACATCATCCCCCTGGCCCGCCGCCTGTTGGCATCAAGGTCACCTGCAGTGGGTCTTCCACACTGAGGGACTGTGCCCTTTGCCACTCAGCTGGGGCCCAAAACTCTGTTCTCCACAGGTCATAGGGGGATATTAATGGAAATATTGGCAAATCTTACAATGTAGAAATATAAAAAAGTTCTGTGTTAAAACTATTGTAAGCAAACTGAGAAAGCAATCATGAAACTGGGAGAAATATGTGCAAGAAATATGTGCAATCATATCACAGGCAGAGATGAACTTCCCTAATACATAAAGAGCTTCCACTATTCAATAGGAAGAAGCCTACCAACACAAAAATAATAAACAGAAGTAAAGGATATAAACATCTAGGTCACAGAAAAGGAAATACAAACAGTTCTGGACATTTTATTTTATTTTTTTTAATTAAAAAAGTTGCCAGGCACGATGGCTCACGCCTATAATCCCAGCACTTTGGGAGGCCGAGGCAGGCGGATCATGAGGACAAGAGATCGAGACCAACCTGGCCAATATTGTGGACCCTCGTTTCTTCTAAAAACACAAAAATTACGTGGGCATGGTGCCGGGTGCCTATAATCTCAGTTACTCGGGAGGCTGAGGCAGGACAATCGCTTGAACCCGGGAGCTGGAGGCTGCAGTGAGCCGAGATTGCACCACTGCACTCCCGCCTGGCGATAGAGACTCCGTCCAAAACAAAACAAAACAAAACAAAACAACAAACAAAAACTAATGAACAAACAAAAAACAAACAAAAAAAATACTGTACTAAGGGAACAATTTTCCACCTATCGTGTTGAGGAACATATTTAAGAGTTTTATGGCTGGATGCGGTGGCTCATGCCTGTAATCCCAGCACTTTGGGAGGCCAAGGCAGGTGGATCATCTGAGTTTGGGAGTTTGAGACCAGCCTGACCAACATGGAGAAACCCCATTTCTACTAAAAATACAAAATTAGCCGGGCATGGTGGCGCATGCCTCTAATCCCAGCTACTCGGGAGGCTGAGACAGGAGAATCGCTTGAACCTGGGAGGCAGAGGTTGTGGTGAGCTGAGATTGCGCCATTGCACTCCAGCCTGGGCAACAAGAGTGAAACTCCATCTCAAAAAAAAAAAAAAAAGAGTTTTATGACATGCTTGTTAGAGCTGTGTGAGGAAAAAAGCATTTCTATACACTGAGGATGAGAGGATATATTAAAGTCACTTCTGTAAGGCAATTTGGCATCAAATCACAAATGCACAAACCCTTTGACTCAGGAATACAGATATATTCTGATGCATGCCAAAATGTATGAACAAGATTTTTCATTGCAAAATTGTTTGTCATCTTCTTATACAGTGTATGAATACAAGAACTCTGGAAATGTACATCCATATTATTGTATAATGCAAGCATACATTTTTATTCTGCTTGTAAATTTTTTCCTAAACTTATACATATTTACTGATAAAATAAGCTAGCATTGCTTTTACATCATGTTTAAATATGTAAACGTCAATCTGTGTTTAACAAAATTGATTTATTGCACTGATGAATTTTATTTCAAAAGTTATCTTTTGGCTGGGCGAGGTCTCTCACACCTGTAATCCCAGCACTGTGGGAGGGCGAGGTAGGTGGGTCACCTGAGGTCAGGAGTTCGAGATCAGTGTGACCAATATAATGAAATTCCGTCTTTACTAAAAATTTAAAAATTTACAAATTTGCCAGATGTGATGGTGTGGGCCTGTAGTCCCAGCTACTCAGGAGGCTGAGACAGGAGAATCACTTGAACCTGGGAGGCAGAGGTTGCAGTGATCCGAGATTGTGCCACTGCACTCCAAGCCTGGGCAACAGAGTGAAACTCCATCTCAAAATTTAAAAAAAGTTATCTTTCATGGTATGCCCACTTTAGAATAATTTCAAAGATCTTTAGGTAACTCAAAACCTTGTACTCATTTAATTGATGGATATTTGCTGGGTACATAAATAATTTCTAGGAAAAACGAAAGACTAAAACATGCATTATGAAGCACAATTTAAGTGTATAAACTTTTGCTTCTTTATTTTTATTTATTTATTATTTTTATTTTATTTTATTTTTTATACTTTTTTTTTTTCCTTTTTGTGGAGATCAGGGTCTTGCTATACTGCCCAGGCAGGTCTTGAACTCCTGGGCTGAAGCTGTCCTCCCACCTCTGCTTCCCTAAGAGTTGGGATTATAGGCGTGAGCCACCATGCCCAGGCTTATTATTATTATTATTCTTTGAGATGGAGTTTCACTCTTGGTTGGCCAGGCTGGAGTGCAATGGCATGATCTCCGCTCACTGCAACCTCCACCTCCCAGGTTCAAGTGATTCTCCTGCCCCAGCCTCCGGAGTAGCTGAGATTACAGGCGCCTGCCACCACACCAGGCTAATTTTGTATTTTTAGTAAAGACAGGGTTTCGCCATGTTGACCAGGCTGGTCTCGAACTCCTGACCTTGGGTGATCCGGTTGCCTCGGCCTCCCAAAGTGCTGGGATTACAGGCATGAGCCATTGCACCTGGCCTATTTTTATTTTTTGAGACAGAGTCTTGCTCTGTTGCCCAGGCTAGAGTGCAGTGGTGCAATCTCAGCTCACTCCAACCTCCACCTCCTGGGTTCAAGCAATTCTCCTGCCTCAGCCCCCCGAGTAGCTGGGATTACAGGCGTGTGCCACCACACCTGGCTAATTTTTGTATTTTTAGTGGAGACAGGGTTTTGCCATGTTGCCCTGGCTGGTGTCCAACTCCTGACCTCAAGTGATCCACCCGCCTTGGCCTCCCAAAGTGCTGGGATTACAGGCATGAGCCACCGGCCTGGCCCTTGCTTCTTTTTTTATATGCTACGAAGAGCTCACATCTTTGGATCTGTTAATAAACGTGTTTCTTTTTGCCACTTGGAGAAGTTATACCATAAGGGATTCATATGGCTGCAGAGAGTTGTGTCACGTGCATTCACGAGCTTTGCTTGTCTGCTATATGTTAAGTGACAATCACAGTTACAAATGTCCAACTTCCTGTGTTCTCTATGAAATAGAATTTGCTTTACTTAAAAGTTATCATTAATGTTAGCGATTGACACTATGCTTTGGAGCAGTAGTTTCAGAGAAATACAACTGTGTATGTGTTTCTGTTTTTTTTTTTTTTTTTTTTTTTTAAGGCTGGAGTGCAGTGGCGTGATCTCAGCTCACTGAAACCTCTGCCTCCCGGGTTCAAGCAATTCTCCTCTCTCAGCCTTCCTAGTAGCTGAGATTACAGGTGCCCACCACCACACAGGGCTAATTTTTAGTAAAGATGGGGTTTCACCATGTTGGCCAGGCTGGTCTAGTACTTCTGACCTCAGGTGATGCACCCACCTTGGCCTCCCAAAGTGTTGGGAATACAGGCGTGAGCCACTGCCCCTGGGTATACTTCTGTTTTTTAAGGAAAATAAAGTACTGTGGTTTTGTCTTAAAGCTGCAGTACTCAGATTAGGTTTGGGGCAGGGGGTTTGGGAGTTTGTTTTCAGTTGGTTTGCTTGGTGAAACCTCTTTACACACCTCCAACATAATGAGGACACCAAAGAGCTTTTTTTGTGTATTATAGCTATTAGTATTTACTGTTAAACATTTCAATATAAATTTCATAAATGAAATTTTTTCATTCCTCTCACCACATACCTATAAAACATAATTTTTTTTTTTCTTTGAGATGGCATCTCACTCTGTCACTGAGGCTGGAGTCCAGTGGTGCGATCTCGGCTCACTGAACTAGAGATCTCCCCTGTCCAAGCGTTTCTCGTGCCTCAGTCTACTGGGTAGCTGGGACTACAGGCACCTGCCACCACACCTACCTAATTTTTGTATTTTTATTAGAGATGGGGTTTCACCATGTTGGCCAGGCTGATCTTGGAACTCCTGACCTCAACTGATCCACCCACGTGGGCCTCCCAAAGTGCTGGGATTACAGGCACGAGCCACCACGCCTGGATGCTATAAAACATAACTTTTAAGAAAGCTTATTTAATGATTCATTAAAAAATAGCAACAATGAATGAAGTACAATAAATGCACCTCAGCAGCATTATGAAATTAGTTCTGACCTCATGGGCCCCTTGAGATTGGTCCTAAAGTCAAGGGTGAGTTTACTGCAGAATGCAAAAGAGCATGCTGACATGAATTTTTTTTTTTTTTTTTTGAGATGGAGTCTAGCTCTCTTGCCCAGGCTGGAGTGCAGTGGCATGATCTCGGTTCATTGCAAACTCCACTTCTGTTCAAACAATTCTCCTGCTTCAGCCCCCTGAGTAGCTGGGATTACAGGCATGCACCACCATACCCAGCTAATTTTTGTATTTTTAGTAGAGATGAGGATTCACCATGGTGGCCAGGCTGGTATTTATATATATGTATATATTTATATATATATGATATTTCAGTCTGAAATATGTTAAACACTATGAAATGTGTTTAAGGTCTTATAAAAGTTTGCTTTTATAACAACATACACTTTATCATATAAAATATATATAATATATAATAGTTTACACTATATAATGCATATAAAATACATCATATGCATTTTAACAGTATTAAATTTACTAAAATTCTTTTAAAAATTTGTTTAATATTCCCAGCCTTGTTTCCCTGGTTTACTGTTTGCCATCTTCACCTATACTATGAAGGGTTATTCTTTTTTTCTATGTAAATCTACCTAGATAGCAAAGATTCAGTGTTTTACCAGAATAATTTTTTGATTTTCATGTTGATTTTATTATGCCCTTGATTATTTAAAGAAACAACATTTGTTTTTTAGGAGAGGGCTAAAGTTCTATACAATCATATTATTTTCTATCTTTATTTTTATTTTAATTTATTTTAATTTATTTGGGTTTCTTTTTCTTCTTTTTTTTTTTTTTTTTGAGACAGAGTTTCACTCTTGTTGCTCAGGCTGGAGTGCAGTGACACGATCTCTGCTCACTGCAACCTCAGCCTCCTGGATTCAAGCGATTCTCCTGCCTCAGCCTTCTGAGTAGCTGGGATTATAGGTGCCCGCCACCACGCCCAGCTAATTTTTTGTATTTTTAGTAGAGACGGAGGGGTTTCACAATGTTGGCCAGGCTGGTCTTGAACTCCTGACCTCAGGTGATCCACCTGCCTCGGCCTCCCAAAGTGCTGGGATTACAGGAGTCAGCCACTGTGCCCCGCCTATTTAATTTAATTAATTAATTTATTTTTTGAGAGGGAGTCTCCCTCTGTTGCCCAGGCTGGAGTGCGGTGGCATGATCTCGGCTCACTGCTGCCTGCTGGGTTCAAGCAATTCTTCTGTCTCAGCCTCCTAAGTAGTTGGGACTACAGGCGTGCCATGCCCGGCTAATTTTTGTACTTTTAGTAGAGACGGGGTTTCACCATATTGGCCAGGATGGTCTTGAACTCCTGACCTAGTGATCCACCCACCTTGGCCCCCAAGACTGCTGGGATTACAGGCGTGAACCACCACATCGGGCTGCCTGGCCTATTTTTAAATGTTGTATTGTCCCTTACAAATGGGTAGGCAAATATTATTTCTCAGACACCTATGACCCTACATTAAGTGTTCAAATCTCCTGACAATTTTGGATTTTGCATTCCCAAAATTCCTAAATGTGAAATAAAATAAAATAAAAGGAATGATAGCTGAGCTTTCCCAGAAATACCATTGAAAATCACAAAAGATTTGTTACTTCCTCTTATGAAAAGAGAGGTGCCAGAAATAAACACGTGTATTTGATATGTTACTATTATTGAATTACCCGGGAATAGATGAGGTTATGTTTTATCAAAAGAGAGGGAAAGTGTAGGAAAAATTTCCTTTCAATGGAAAATTAAATATTGCCTATAGCACACCCTTTCACATTATCTGCTTTTGATTCCATGGGTGTTGTTTTGCAGCTTGTACAATGTAGATAACTGATAGAAATGAAAAATAATTTTTGACTATAGACCTGTACATTTAGTCCTACCAGTAGAGGTTCAGCTGACTTCCTTTCCCACCCTGGAAGAAGCTGGCTTGAGCTCTGTTGGTGCATTTGTTTCAACATTCCTTTGCTCCATATAAATGTAGATTTTTTGACTTCTCCTTTGAGTCAGTTATAATCTGCTGTTTGAGAGTCATGATTTTATTTTATTTATTTATTTTTTTTGAGACAGGGTCTTGCTCTATCACCCAGGCTTGAGTGCAGTGATGCAAGCTTGGCTCACTGCAGCCTTGACCTCCTGGGCTCAAGTGATTCTCTGAACTCAGCCTCCTGAGTAGCTAGAACTACACACTTGAGCCACCATGCCTGGATAATTATTATTATTATTATTATTATTATTATTATTATTATTATTATTTTGTATAGGGGGTGTTGCACTATATTGCCCAAGCTGGTCTTGAACTCCTGGTCTTAAGCAATCTTCCCAACTCATTCTCCCAAAATGCTGCTATTATAGGCATGAGCCGCCACTCCAGACTGATGATGTTATCCTTTTTAATAAATGTATCTTTTAACAATGAGGATAATGGAAGTTAATTCATTACAAATGATGGAAGCCTATTGCATTAGAGTGTAATTCTCTTCCTTAATCCTTGTTTTCGAATACCCGGAGGGCAGTAACTGAAAGACCATTAGCTGGTATTAACCTTCAATAACTCTGGAATATGGCCCCATCTCCTACCTAGGGTAGCCCCTGGCAAGTCACTTTCCTCCCCTTACACCTATGCAGCCTCCTAGTTGGGTGGGGCTAAAATAATCTCTTCCCTCCCTACAGCAGCAGGTGGGACTGGATCAAGAGACCTGGGCGTGACCAAAAAAAAAAAAAGAAAGATAAAGAAGAAAGAAAAGAAAAAGAAAGAAAGAAGAGAAGGGAAATGAAAGGAAAAGAAAAGAAGAAAAGAAAAAAAAAATGAAACAAAAAGGGAAGAAAAGAACAGGAAAAAACAAAAAAAAATCAAATTTGTGAAAAGAAGAGGGAAGCCAAGTGCGGTGGTTCACGCCTTAAATCTTGGCACTTTGGGAGGCCGAGGTGGGTGGATCATTTTAGGTCAGGAGTTCAAGACCAGCCCGGCCAACATGGTGAAACCCAGTCTCTACTAAAAATACAAAAATTAGCCAGGCGTAGTGGCACATGCCTGTGGTCCCAACTACTCAGGAGGCTGAGGCAGGAGAATCGCTTGAACCCAGGAGATGGAGGCTGCAGTGAGCCGAGATCGCTATTGCACTCCAGCCTGGGCAACAGAGTGAGACTCCGCCTCAAAAAAAAACAAAAAAAAGAAAGAAAAAGAAAACAAGGGGAAATAAAAGAAAATTAAACAGGAGTCCCAGTCCTGGAAGGAAAGTATCAATCCTACTCTGGAAGGGAAGAGAAGCAGAGCAGGTTTAGAGGTTAGTCCTATTCTATTCATTTTATGGGGTCCCTGCAGCAGCTGAGTTGAAATGAAGATAAAATGAGGCTTAGAGCAAGGAGATGAATATTTTAAAAAACTTTGTGTTGATGGATAATGTATATACATTTTAAGAATTAAACACACCCATGAAACCAGCACCCAGACCAAATGACAGAACATTACCAGCAGCTAAGAACCCTCCTCGTCTCTCTTGCAGGAAATTGATACTGAGTTGTTGTGACATGGATTAATTTTCCTGGTTTGTGCTTTATATAAATGATATTATGCAGCACTTTTTGAGAAAATGTCTTTCATCAATTGTAGTTTCATCCCTAATGTTGCATGTAGTGGTCAGTCATTCATTCTTTAGTCTGATGTCAATGGTAATTTGAGTCATTTCCAGCTTAGGACTATTATAATAGTGCAGCTATGATCAGTCTTTCTTTTTTTTTTTTTCCTTCCTTCCTTCCTCCCTCCCTCCCTCCCTCTGTCTCTCTCTTTCTTTCTTTCTCTTTCTTTTTCTTTCTTTCTACAGGGTCTCACTCTGTTCCCCAGGCCGGAGTGCAGTGGTACAATCTCGGCTCCCTTCAGTCTCAGACTCCCAGGCTCAAGCCATCCTCCTACCTCAGCCTCCCAAGTAGCTGGGACTACAGGCACACACCACCACACCCATCAAATTTTGTATTTTTAGTGGAGACAGGGTTTCGCCATGTTACCCAGGCTGGTCTCAAACTCCTGGACTCAAGCAATCTGCTTGCCTCAGCCTCCCAAAGTTTTGGGATTACAGACGTGAGCCACCACCACACTCAGTTTGATCATTCTTGTCCATGTTTTTTTTTTTTTTTATGACCATGCATTTGTGCTAGATATATGCCTAGGAATGGAATTGCCAAGTCATATTTATTTCTATATCTGCCAATCTGTGTATACATTAAAAATCAGGATCTCATACTGATGCCTCTGATTCTAATCTAACACAACAGGGTTCATTTTGCCCTTCTCTTTTTATTTGTAGTTCTTTCTTTGACAGTGAGAAGTCTACCTCCCACTAAACACAGTATATTTACTTATTTGCTGAATCTCAGAATACCCATAATATAGTTTCAGAGTTGGTAACCCATATTCCCTAACTCTGTCTGCTGAGAGGCCCTAGACACAGTGACACGCCAGTAACAATGAGGACATCTACCACCCAGATCTTAGTTTCTAAATACATTCCCTCAAAAAAGGAAGCAGAGTTCTTTGGCGAAATGATTAAGAACAGGGCAGGGTCAGTGAAATTATAAAATAATCCTGGAACATCTTATGTCAGAAAGGAAGTGCTCAAAATAGAATAAGGGCATTTCAAACAAACACAGCGGGTGACTTGAAGATGCTCACATTGGCCATACCTGGGACAACTGGAGCAATGAAACAAATGATGTTAGTCATGGATTATCACTGGTAGAATAAACTAAATATCCACGAGTTTGTACTGAAATAATTGCATAAGTAATTGGGAGAGAAGGGACAGCTCTTCCTTACCACTGAATTACAATTAATAAATGGAGAAGGAATTATGAAAGTAGAAAAATCACCTGTTGGAAAACACAGTGGTAATGAATATTGCAGACAAGAATCACCAATGAATGCCAAAATTGGTGGGTGAAAGTATGATGATAAACAACATATTTACATAGTTTCCAAGAGAGCTCCTCATAAGATATTCATTAAGTTCAGAAGGAAAAATAGGACTTTACAATGGATAAATCTTTGCCACATCATCTCTCAAAGTTAATGTCTCCAGTAATAGGATGCAGCAATATCACATGTGCCTCCTGATGCGATGCATGGGGAAGGGTATAACCTCGCTTCTGTGGTGTTCTCACCAAAAACACAAAACCTCATTCTCATTGTGAGAAAGCACTAGACAAACACAAGTTGGAGGACATTCTACAAAATAATTGCCAGGACTCTTCAAGAGTGTCAAGGTTATGAAAGACAAAAATAGCCTGGATGATTTAAAACTGTCAAAATTATGAGAGGAGGAGAAAGACGGAGGAGCCGTTCTGGATGGAAGGATCCCACTGAGACACGGCAGTGGAATGCCACATGCAGTCCTGGATCGCATTCTGGAGAAGAAAAAGGACGTTAGTGGGGCTACTGGCAACACTGAATAAAGTCTGTAGATTCACAGACAGTATTGCATTAATGTTCATTTCCTGGCTTTGATAATTCTGTAGCTATGTGAGATGTTAATATTTGGGGAGGCTGGTGAAGGTTATACAAGAATTTGCTGTACTCTTTTTGTAAACTCAAAATTATTTCCAAGGAAAAATACTTAAAAAGAAAAAGAAAGAGGGAATTGGATGGGTTTGTGTAATTCTTCAGCCAAAAACCTGCTGGCACCTCTGCCTACAGCATGAAGGGTTACTCTTTTGAGAGTGGCATTCAAGGCCCCCCATAATATGACCAAAATTTCCCCCAGATTTACTGCCCACTCTCCTGCCACACACCCACCTCCATCAATCTCCATGGTATGAATGATGCACTGCTTAGGAAACTCCTACTCATGTTTAAAGACCCTGTCAGGGGCCTTTACTTTACACCCTCAGGAAGCAGAGTTAGTTGCCAGCTCTTCCTTGATCACCAGTCATCTCTCCTGGAAACCTTGATCCTCCTCCAGGGCCTCTGCAGGCCTAGCTGGCATTACTCACAACCCTCTCTGCACTCAGGAGACTTATAACCTGCAAGTACACACAGCAAAGAAAACATAGTGACAGGCCCAGGAAAGCGGGTTAGAGGCAGGGAGCAAAAGAATTCACATTCTTCTGTGACCACAGATGTTATTATTACTCCCTCTTTGTTGGTGAGACTCAGGGAGAGGAGGTGAATGGCCTGAAGCTATACCACTAGCAAGAACAAAGTCACGATTTGAACTCAATTCCTTTGCCTCCCTTACTAAGAGATACTAACTCGGAAATGCTCTGAACAGTCAGCCAAGCAATGTCTTCAGACAGTTTATATTTTACTCTGACTGTCACCTCAAGGAGCCAAAATAAGATCATCTCCCTAGAGAGCATTGCAGAGAAAATTTTCAAAGAGCTGGAGGGAAATGCCAACCCACTTCTACCCACCGAACCCACAGGGAATTCATAGCTTGATGTATTTTCAGGAAATAGCCATGGATTTCACAGTGAACTGAATTGACACTTAGCAATGTGAACCTGCTGCTAAAACATCTCAAAACCGACTACGTGGACACCAGGCACTGCGGGTGGCTGAGTTCTTTTGCTGGGCCCTCAATTTAGGCCAGTTTCCTCCCCTTCTAAATGTGGATTTATCAATTCAAAAGACACTGGTTGGAAAACTGCTATTGCTAAGCTCTGGGATAATCACAGAAGCCATTGCATAGGGTAGCAGCCAAGATTAACTGAAAACTAGACTATGTAGCCATTGAATACTACTCAGTCATAAAAAGGAATAAAATAATGGCATTAGCAGCAGCCTGGATGGAGGTGGAGACCATTATTCTAAGTGAAGTAACCAGGAATGAAAAACCAAAGATCGTATGTTCTAAATTACAAGTGGGGGCTAAGCTATGAGGATGTAATGCACAGGAATGATATAATGAACTTGGGGACTGGGGAAAGGGAGTGTGGGAGGGAGCGAGGGATAGAATACCACACATTGAATGCAGTGTACACTGCTCACCAAAATCTCAGAAATTGCCACTAAATAGCTCATCCATGTTGGCCGGGCACAGTGGCTCACGCCCGTAATCCCAGCACTTTGGGAGGCCAAGGTGGGTGGATCATTCGAGATCAGGAGTTCGAGACCAGGCTGGTCAACATGGTGAAACTCTGTCTACAAAAAATACAAAAGTTAGCTGGGTGGTAGTAGTGCATGCCTGTAATCTCTGCTACTCAGGAGGCTGAAGCAGGAGAATCGCTTGAGCCTGGGAGGTGGAGGTTGCGGTGAGCCAAGATCGTGCCACTGCACTCCAGTCTGGGCGACAGAGTGAGACCCTGTCTCAAAAAAAAAAAAAAAAAAAAAAAGAAGAAAGAAAGAAAAGAAAAGAACTTCATATCCTTTGCAGGGACATGGAAGAAGCTGGAAACCATAATTCTCAGCAAACTAACACAAGAACAGAAAACCAAACGCTGCATATTCTCACTCATAAATGGGAGTTGAACAATGAGAACACAGGGACACGGGGAGGGGAACATCACACACTGGGGCCTGTCAGGGGGTGGAGGCTAGGGGAGGGACAGCATTAGAAGAAATATCTAATGTAGATGACGGGTTGATGGGTGCAGCAAACCACCATGGCACGTATATACTTATGTAACAAACCTGCACATTCTGCACATATATCCCAGAATTTAAAGTCTAATTAAAAAAAAAAAAGAACTTATCTATGTAACCAAAAACCACCTATTCCAAAAACTATTGAAATATATATATATATGAACTTATCTATGCAACCAAAAACCACCTGTTCCAAAAACTATTGAAATATATACAGTTAAAATGAATAAGATCTATTATTTGATGGCAAAACAGGGTGATTATAGTCAACAATAATTTATTGCACATTTTATGTTTTTTTCTTTTTCTTTTTACTGTACCTTTTCTATGTACATTTAAAAGTAGCTAAAAGAGTACAATTGGAATGTTTGTAACACAAAGAAATGATAAAAGCTTGAGGTGACAGATACCCCATTTACGCTGATGTAATTATTACACATTGTATGCCCGCATCAAAACATCTCTTGTGCCCCATAAATAGATATATCTACTATATACCCATAAAAATTAAAAATTAAACACACTTTAATCAGAAAAATACATCTATAATAAAATTTTTACAAATTTAAAAAAACAGACTATGTAATACTTCACACCAGGTTGGACATGAAGTCAAAATCATTAATGTTGGCTGTTAGAACGATAACTATTGGTATTATAACTGTTAATAATGTTGTTATTATTTTTGAGATGGAGTCTGGCTCTGTCACCCAGACTGGAGTGCAGTGGTGCAATCTCAGCTCACTGCAACCTCCACTTCCTGGGTTTAAGCAATTCTCGTGCCTCAGCCTCCCGAGTAGCTGGGATTACAGGTGTGTGCCACCACACCTGGCTAATTTTTGTATTTTTTTGTATTATTATTATTATTTTTAGTAGAGATGCGGTTTCACCATGTTGGCCAGGCTGGTCTCAAACTCCTGATTTCAGGTGATCTGCCCACCTCGGCCTCCTGAAGTGCTGCGATTACAGGTGTGAGCCACCATGCCCAGGCATAACTCTTAGTATTAAACCTCTACCCTCACGCTACACTTGGCTTCTCCCTGTACCAAGCAGACCTCCCCGTCTTCCTACAGCTTCTCCTACCTGGGAGGATTCAGGGCCACATGTAAGAAAGGGGGCAGAGCCGGGCGCGGTGTCTCACGCCTGTAATCCCAGCACTTTGGGAGGCCGAGGCGGGCGGATCATGAGGTCAGGAGATCGAGACCATCCTGGCTAACACAGTGAAAACCTGTCTCTAATAAAAATACAAAAAATTAGCTGGGCGTGGTGGTGGGCGCCTGTAGTCCCAGCTACTCGGGAGGCTGAGGCAGGAGAATGGTGTGAACTCGGGAGGCAGAGCTTGCAGTGAGCCGAGACTGCACCACTGCACTCCAGCCTGGGCGATAGAGCAAGACTCTGTCTAAAAAAAAAAAAGAAAAGAAAAGAAAGGGGGCATATTAAAGGGGTATGCCTATTGCACAGTTCATAATTCCCAAGGTACAGAACCACCTTAAGTGCCCATTGACCAATGAGTCGATAAAATGTGGTATATGTACACCATGGACTAATACTCAGCCATACAAAGGAACAAAATAATGTCTTCTGAAGCAACTGGGATGGAGTTGGAGACCATTATTCTAAGTGAAGTAACTCAGGAATGGAAAACCAAATACCCTATGTTCTTACTTACAAGTGAGAGCTAAGCTATGAGGACACAGAGACATACAGAGTGATATAATGGACTCTGGAAACTCAGAAGGGGGAGGATGGGCGGAGAGTGTGGGATAAAAAACTACATATCGGTTATGATGAATGCTACTTGGGTGGTGCGTGCACTAAAATCTCAGAATTCACCGTTACAGAATTCATTCATGTAACTAAATATAACTTGTACCCCCAAAGCTACGGAAACTTTATAAAATTAATAACAATTTAAAAAGAAACAGCTCTCTTTCTGCCTCCACTGCTGCCATGGCACCCGGGAAAAAGCTTGTGGTGAATGGGGGCAAAAAAGGAAGCAGGTTCTGAAGTTCACTCTTGATTGCACCCACCCTGTGGAAGATGGAATCACGGATGCTGCCAATTTTGAGCAGTTTTTGCAAGAGAGGATCAAAGTGAACTGAAAAGCTGGGAAGCTTGGTGGAGGGGTGGTGACCATCAAAAGGAGCAAGAGCAAGATCACCATGACATCTGAGGTGCCTTTTTCCAAAAGGTATTTGAAATATCACACCAAAAATTTTTGAAGAAGAATAATCTACGTGATTGGTTTGCGTAGCTGCTAACAGCAAACAGAGTTATGTTACTTCCAAATTAACCAGGACGAGAAAGAGGAGGGAGATGAGGATTAAATTTCATTTATCTGGAATATTTTGTATGAGTTCTTGAACAAAACTTGCGAACCAAAAAAAAAAAAAAAGTAACAAAAAACTACTTTTTCCTTTTTTGAGATGGGTCTCACTCTGTCACCCAGGCTGGCATGCAGTGGTGTAATCACAGTTTGCTGTAGCCTCGACTTCCTGAGCTCGTCATCCTTCTACCTCAGCCTCCTGAGTAGCTGGGACTACAGGTGTGCCACCACACCCGGCTAATTTTTAGATTTTTTTGTAGAGCCAGGGTATTGCTATATTTTCCAGGCTGGTCTTGAACTCCTGAATGCAAGCCATCCTCCCACTTCAGCCTCCTAAAGTGCTAGGATTACAGGAGTGAGCCACTGCATCCAACCTCAAAAAACTTAAATCTCAACCTGTCGAGTCGCCCCCTCCTTTCCTTCCCTCAACAGAGACATCCACATTCACACTTCACTGGCTCACTTTCTCCGGCTATAACTTCTGTGCCTTGGGTTAGTAGCCCCTGTCCATCTGTGCAGAGAATGGGCTAGCCTTGCCCAGTGCTCACTGAGAGCTCTCCCAGCATGGGTCTTCCTGGTATCTCTGGAAATCCTCTCTTGTGCCAAAGGGAGAAGACAAGGAGGCTTTGTACAGCTCAGGCACTCCCAACCACTGAGGCTCTTTTAATTGGGCTGTCCTCTCACCCCACTTCTCTCCCCAGAGAGATGACCAGCCCCTATTTCCTGTTTCCTTTGCCCTTTGCCTTTGGGTATGAGTTGGGAGAGCAAGCTCCTGCCAGATTCCCCACCACTTGTGCCCCGGCCCAGCCAGGCTGGGAGAACCTGCGCACATCCTGTAGCATTGCCTGTGGAGGCAACACAGGCGCCTGGGAAACAAATCCCCAAATTCCTAAATAGTACCTGTGTGCCCTGGGCCACCTCCTAACTTCTGCAAGCTTCACACTCTACATGCTTCCATAACCGTGGCAGGTTCCATCACAATCTGTGTGGATTATGAGGATATGGGAGCATTAAGTGAAAGAGAAAAGTCTGCACATTACGGCACTTCATTCATGCAGGTGGTTATGAGGGTTCTCCCCTAAATGCACAGGGCTTGCCACTCTGCGCTCCCTCCATATCCCATTTGTCCCTTTCTCACCTCCACACTTCTCCAGATTCTCTATTTAGTGCCTTTCCCAGGACTTGAGAGTCAAGAGGCCTGATCATGCTGAGGACCATGAATTTTGGAACCAGATCTACCTAGCTTCCAAACTGGGATCTGCCACTCTCTACCCTTGAATCAAATATATTTAATATATCTTATTTTTTAAAATGGGGATAAGGATATCTACTTGATAGGTTTACTGATGCAAGAATTAAATAGGATAATGCATATACAGCCTCAGCACAATACCGGGTTCAGAGAAGTTTAGCAAATAATAGAATAATAAATAATAAGAGGTATTATTAGATCCAGCTGGGTACCCCCTTGCTTTGAGGCCTGGCATATGATTGGCATATTTCTCTAGTTCCTGCCACTGATGCCAGTCTCCCCTATCTTTAATTTCACTGGTCACTTTAGAGAATACTGGAAGGAGGAGGTTTGTTAACTGGGTTCACTGGCTCCATACTATCATTTTGCCCAGGAGTTTCCCTTTACATATTTGGGCTGCTTTCTCTTGGTATAAGGAAATAAATTGATTTCCAAACACTTATCTTAATTTTTTTTTTGAGACAGTCTCGCTCAGCTGCCCAGGCTGGAGTGCAGTGGCAGGATCTCAGCTCACTGAAACCTCCACCCTCTGGATTCAAGCGGTTCTCCTGCCTCAGCCTCCCTAGCAGCTGGGATTACAGGCGTGTGCTACCACGCCCGGCTAATTTCTGTATTTTTAGTGGAGATAGGGTTTCCCCATGTTGCCCAGGCTGGTCTTGAACTCCTGACCTCAAGTGATCCACCCACCTCTGCCTCTCAAAGTGCTGGGATTACAGACGTGAGCCACCGTGCCCAGCCAAACACTTGTTGATAGTGGCATCTTTTTAAATTTTTTTAATTTTTAATTTTTAATTTGCAAATTATTTTTTTAGAACAGTGTCTCACTCTGTCACCCAGGCTGGGGTGCAGTGATATAATCATAGTTCACTGCTGCCTCAAACTCCTAGGCTTAAGCGATCTTCCTGCTTCAGCTTCCCCAATAATAGGCGCATGCCACAACGCCCAGCTAATGCTTATTATTATTTTTTTAATTTTTAGTAGAGATGGGGTCATGCTGTGTTGCCAAGGCTGGTTTTGAACTTCTGGGCTCAAATCATCCTCCCACCTTGGCCTCCCAAAGTGCTGGGATTACAGGCATGAGCCACCATGCCTGGCCAATATGGCATCTTTATCTCATTCCTGATTTAATAAAGAATACATTTCTCCATTTACTTGTATGTACATATGAACTATTTAAGATAATAGTAGTTGGCCATGCATGGTGGCTCATTCCTGTAATCCCAGCACTGTGGGAAGCTGAGGCAGGAGGATCACTTGAGCCCAGGTGCTCGAGACCAGCCTGGGCAACACAGCAAGACCCCTTATCTCTCTTTTTTTTAATTTGAAAAATTATAAGTGTAAAAATTAAAAAGTAGTTATCTTGTTAAGGAAATGTCCCATTATTTCCTCTATTTTTATCCTAAGTTTGTTGTTATTACTGTTTTTAAGTTAGGGAGGGTTGTTTAATTTCATCAAATATGGTTTCAGTATTTATTGAAATTATAAGTCTATTTTGCATTTTTGTTTCCTTGACCTTGTGACAGACGTGATGTATAGAGATTTTCCCAGAACTCCCCTTGGAAATGAGTAGCTAGCAAACTACTTTATGTTCGAAGTAGTGGCAAAAGGTTGGACCACACAGTACAGAGAATTAGGACATTTAGATATCCACTTAGGGAAAAATTTAAGTTCGATTCCTTCCTTGTGACCACAAAAAAATTCTAGATGGATTAGACATTAGACCTTGAGAAAACCTTAAAACTATTTGAAGAAAACATAGAAAAATATCTTTATAGCCTTGATTCAAGGAATCATAAAAGCCACCGCACCCGGCCAACCTTGCATTTTCATATTATAGAGATGACTTCTTTCCTTAAACCCCATGAACTAACAACCTCTGTTAGCTTCAAACTTTTCTTCAGCAGCTTCCTCACCTCCCTCAGCTTTCACAGAACTAAAGTGAGCTAGGGGCTTGCCCTGGATTAGGCTTTGCCTTAAGGGGATGTTGTGGGTGATTTGATGTTCTAACCAGCACTAAAACTTTTTCCACATCAGCAACAAGGCTGTTTTGCATTCTTATCATTTGTGTATTCACTGGAGAAGCACTTTTAATTTCCTTCAAGAACTTTTCCTTTGCTTTCACAACTAGGCTAATGGGCACAAGAGGCCTAGCTTTCAGCCTAGGTCGGTTTTCGTTATGCTTTCTGCACTAAAGGTAGTTGTTCCTGACTTTTGATTGAAAGTGAGAATCACACAGTTCTTCTTTCCACCTGAACATGTATAGGGCACTGCATGGTTATTAATTAGCCTAATTTCAATACTGTTGTGTATCAGGTAATAGAGAGGCCTGAGAAGAAGGAGCGAGCTGGGAATGGATGGTGGACAACGCAGTCAGAACACACATAACTGGCAGGGTGCAGTGGCTCATGCCTATAATCCAGCACTTTGGGAGGCCGAGGTGGGAGGATTGCTTGAGTCCAGGAGTTGGAGACTAGCTTGGGCAATATAATGAGACCTCGTCTCTACAAAAAATTTACAAATTAGCTGAGTGTGGTGGCACATGCCTGCTGTAGTTATTCGGGAGGCTGAGGTGGGAGGATCGCTTGAGCCCGGAAGGTGAAGGTTGCAGTGAGCTGAGATCATGCCACCGCACTCCAGCCTGGGTGACAGAGAAAGACTCTGTCTCAAAACAAAACAAAACGAAACAAAACAAAAAGACACATAGACAACATTAAGTTCACCCTCTTATATCAATGAGCTTGTAAACAATTACAATAGCAACATTAAAGATCACTGATCACTATAACATGATAATGAAAACATCTAAAATATTGTGAGAATCAGCGAAACGTAATGCAGAGACAGAAAGTGAGCATATGCTGTTAGAAACACGGCACCGCAAGACTTGCTTGACACAGGGTTGCCGCAAACATTCAATAGGTAAAAAACAATATCTGCAAAGTGCAATAAAGCAAAAACACTATAAAACTTAGTGGGCCCGTACATGAGACTTCTCTGCATTATTTCTTTTTTTTCTTTGTAGAGATGGCGTCTCTCTGTCATCCAGGCTGGAATGCAGTGGCACCATCACAGCTCACTGCATCTTTCAACTCCTGAGCTTCAAGGGATCCTCCTGCCTCAGCCTCCCAAGTAACTGGAGTCACAGGCATGGGCCACCACACCGCGCCCAGCCTGTCTTTTCATTCTTAACAGTGTCTCTGGCACAGCAGACATGTTTCACTTTAATGAGGTCCATCTTGTCCATTTTTTCTTTCGTAGATGGTGTTTTTGTGTTGCATCTAGAAACTCATTGCCAAACCCAAGGTCACCTAGATTTTCTCCTATGTTATTAAACTTACAGAAGTTTGCTAGTTTTGTGTTACATTTAGGTCTATGGTCTGTTTTGTGTTAATTGTTGGGAAAGGTGTAAGGTCAGTGTTTATATTCATTATTCCACATGTGGATGTCTAGTTGTTTCCAGCACTATTTATTGTCAAGACAATCTTTTCTCCATTAAATTGCGTTTGCTCCTCTGCCAAAGATGAGTGGCCTCTATTTGTATGGGTCTATTTCTGGGGTGCTTATTTTGTTCCATTGATCTATTTACCTATTCTTTTGCCAGTACTTCACTGTCTTAATACATACAGAAGACAACATAAACAAAGTAGGAAGTCAACTATAAATGAGAACAAAGTACTTGCATTTTTCCCCCAAAGTATTTTAACCAAACATTTTGCAAAAAATCAAAATGCAAAAATATAAGAATGTCAACAAATTTGCTCAACTATAACAGAAAAAGAAAGCTTACAAGAGAATGTAGAGCTCAGAGTTTCTATTTACTGTTCATTAGATAAATGGTTTAAATGGACTGAAAACCCTGAAAAACTGCTCAAATTATAAAGAATCTATGAAATACTATGGAAGCATTTTCTAACCTGTTTCTGAAACCTCTGAAAAAAACTCATCATGTATCAATACAAGCTAACTTGCTTTACAGAAATAAAAGGAAAACTATACATTTCATTACATGTATACATGTGTCTTTCACATACTTGTAACTCAGAAAACCATGCTTTCACAAATATAATAATAGAAATACCATAATATTAGCAATCATAACATTCGTGAAACTATAAAGAAAAAACTGGCTGGATGCTGTCTCTTACACCCTAGAACCCAGGTTCTGGTCAGGGCTTCTCTTGGTTGTATGAATTCACCTCATGGAACTGTCGTAAGACTCAAAAGAGATAGTGTAAACAAAAGCATCCTGTAAACTGTATTAGCCTGTAGATATGTGGTTCATGTAAATCCAGGCACTTTAATGGCTGACAGCTGCCCCGGCAGAACCGCTTCTCTCGGTTCTTTTTTTTTTTTTTTTTTTTTTACAGGGAAACTAAAGAATTCTTTTATTCTGTTAAACAGAATAAAAAGGAAAAAAGAATACAGACATCACGGTGATGAACTTTCACAAAGCTAACAGATTTGAACTACAGAGCAATGGAATATTCATAAGCAAGATGTCATGGTATTAATGACCAAATGGCATCCAACTAGGTTTTCTAAGCTCAAAAACATTTAAAATCTCAGACTTAAAATTCAAATCTAGACATGACAATTGTAAGCACACCACTCAGTCATTTAAAACTATGCAGTGAGTGCTACTCCTCATTAAATTTTTTTTCGTGTTATTTTTTTCTCCCAAGATTTAGAATGTCACATCTCATGTTCTTACTAGTAATCACACACAGGATTAAAAGCCCAACCAAACAAGAAAGTATTCTTTTTATAATGTGTTCTTAAAAGAAGAAAGAAAAATTAAATGTGAACATTTTGTACAACAGTTGCTAAAGAACAGCAACACCAATTCTGAAATATCATGTGGACTATGCAAAAAGGCACGGCTCATGGAACCAAGTATATAACGCTACAGCATTTGAACATCAGTCTCTAAAAGTTGGTGATATTACATCCTGTACACAGCTCTGTGTCTCTCTACCCGGCTAGCGCATGCCCAGGATCTCTCTGCTTTTTAGTTGATAATTTTTCTCAATATCTGACAGGGCTTGAGCCCGCAGCTGGGCAGCATGAAGCATGAAGCAAGGACCTTCAGGTCCTTGCACTTGGACTTAGATGTGAGCTGACTCTCAGGATTCTCACTCCTCATGACATTCTCTTTACTTTCCCCACTGAAATGAACTTTCTTCTTAATTACTGAGGATGGAAGATTAAGAAGTTCTGGACTACTTGCCAGAGACAGGAACTTCTGTTCCTTTAGCAAGCTGTAATTCTTCAACAGATTTTCTGGTATAGCCAGTCTGTCCTCTGCTAGTCTCTCACAAACACAAAGCTCCTGTTCTTTCTGCTCCAATCTTTCTTCTCCTGCTTTGAGAGCTCGCTCTTGCTCCTCTAACTGAATTTCCTTTAGTTTCAGCTCACTCAATACAGGGCTGGAATCCAGCAATTTTTCTGGCTCTCCTAATTGTCGCCCTCTTCTCTCAAGATTTCTTCTTTGCTCTTCTGCAACCAAATCTGCTATTAAAGGGTTCTCGAGAATTTCTTCAACAGAAGGTTGATGGTAATCCTCTAACATCCTCATAATAATTTCATTCAATTCATCAGAGTAACGGTATAGAATTCGCCTGAATTTGCCTTCTCTGATTTTCCCAGCGAGTTCTTTCTGGCTAAAAGCTGTAAATGGAGGCATTAATGCACGTGACTCATACGGCAAGCAGCCCAATGACCAGATATCTGGTTTCTCATTGTAGGACATGTGATTCGTTTGTTCAGGAGACATGTAATAAGGTATGCCAACAAATGTTTTTGCAAAACTCGTGTCGTGGTTTAATATTCTGGCTAGCCCCAAATCTCCAAGCTTGACGTTTTGCTTGCCATCCAGGAAAACACTGGCTGGTTTCAGATCCCGACGCACTACAGTATGATCACCACCACTTCGTCTGTGGCATTACTTCAGGGCCAGAGTCAACTGAGTCGTCACTCGAAGAACAAACTCTTCATCTAAGTATTGCCTTTCCTTGGTTCCCTTTGTAATTACACTAGCCAGGTCTCCTTCTTCACAATATTCCATTACAACGTACAGTGTTGTGTTGGTCCGGTCAATAATACGATCATAGTAATGAACGATGTTTGGATTTTTCAGTTTACAAAGCAAATTCACTTCAGAAATAAGCATCTGTTTCTCAGCTTCTGTCATGAAGCCATAATCAAGTTCTTTCCAAACTAGTATCTTGCCGTCACTCTTCCGCTGGATCTTCTGGCAGCGGCCATAGGAGCCTGTGCCAATGGTGTACAACACTTCATAGTTCTCAGCCCGGGATGGCATGGCCGGCCAGTCACCAGAGTGGCGCTGCCTCATGCAGGTTGTGCCCCCAAGTGCGGAGCTCCAGGGACCGGGAGCTCCAGGGACCTGGATGGAGAAGCCCCCGAGCAACACTGACCTGCCACCCCTGCCTTCGGCCCCGTTTCTCTCTCGATTCTTAAACAACTTATATTTCCAAGTCCAGTTCAAAAGTTGTATTCTTGGAAGCCTCCGCATCCCACCTGTCCATCCAGGCAGAACTAATCCATCTACACTCTAGTATTATGCTCTCATAACTCTTGGCTCTTCACCAATTCATTCAAGGGTATAATGAGCATTTAAAATATGTCAGGCATCAGGCTATGCACTGGAGAAAAAAATCCTAAATGTGTAAAACTTCCAAAGTTTTCTCACATACATTATCTCATTTCATACTTTAAAAAAATATCCCATAGGATGATAATTTTTTGTTAACAATTTCTCCTACCAGAATGAATTCCCAGGGGGTAGAAACTAAGTGTGATTCATCCTTGACTCCCTAGAGTCTAGTGCAGTGCCTAGCACACCGAAGACACTCATTAAATGCTTGATAAAGGAGTAACAGACACTTGTTTAATTACTAAAATATCAATCAGGGTTAACACTGAAATAATCTTTCCACAAAGTTTCTACAGGGGAAAGGGGAAAATACATTGTATGAACACATCTGTGGAGCGAAAATTCCTCCCTATGATAGACCATCTCCAACTCAAGTTTAACTGTTTAACAAAGCCATGTAGCAACTGAAGATGGATTTGATTTCACTATTAAGAGTAACAAGCTCTAACTGAAGAACAGTGAGTTCTGCATAAAAGCTCCTGTGCAGATCATTCTGCTTGGTAAAACTGGACGTTATTGCACAAACATTAAAATAAACATTTAAACTTGGCCGGGCGTGGGTGGCTCACGCCTATAATCACAGCATTTTGGGAAGCTGAGGCGGGTGGATCACGAGGTCAGGAGATCAAGACCATCCTGGCTAACACGGTGAAACCCTGTCTCTACTAAAAATACAAAGAATTAGCTGGAAGTGGTGGCACGTGCCTGTAGTCCCAGCTACTCGGGAGGCTGAGGCAGGAGAATCACTTGAACCCGGGAGGCAGAGGTTGCAGTGAGCCGAGATCGTGCCACTGCACTCCAGCCTGGTGACAGAACGAGACTCTGTCTCAAAAAAAAAAAAAAAGATTAAAAAAAGTTAAATTGAGAGACTATATAAATGGGTTTATCATCCTTTTCTCCTTTAGTATTTACTTTTCTTAATCTCACATCATGTTCTGCTTTACATAAAAAAGCCTCACAGTTTACAAAGCCCTTTCCCATATATGGTCTTAGCAATCCTGTAGATACCATCAAAAGCATCTTGGAGAGGTAGTGCAGTACTGGAGAAGCAACACAATGAGAAGACCTGGGCTTGAATCTTAGCTTTTACTAGCTGCATGACCTTAGGGATATGTAGCTAAAACTGCAGAAGAAATAAAAATGAATATGTGTCTAAAATTATAGAAGAAATAAAAAATGAAAACATTTTTAATGTTTTTAAAATGCCTACAACTTTGGATCACACAAATGACCAAGCTGATGAACCTTAAAAATTCAAAATATCGGCTGGGTGTGGTGGCCCTTGCCTGTAATCCCAGGACTTTGGGATTCACCTGGCTAACGTGGTGAAACCCCATTTCTACTAAAAATACAAAAAATTAGCCAGGCGTGGTGGCACATGCCTGTAATCTCACTTACTTGGGAGGCTGAGGCAGGAGAATCTATTGAACCTGGCAGGTGGAGGTTGCAGTGACCCGAGATTGCGCCACTGCACTCTAGCTTGGGCAACAACATTTTTTCTGGCAGCCGTAATCCCATGCCTCAGCTTCTTGAGTGGCTGAGATTATAGACATGTGCCCCCACGCCCTACTATTTTTTATTTTTAGTAGAGATGGGGTTTTGCCATGTTCCAGGCTGGTCTCGAACTCCTGACCTCAAGTGATCCACCCGCTTTGGCCTCCCAAAGTGCTGGGAGCCACCATGCCTGGCTAATCCCACTTTCTGACTTTGGCCACTGCACTGAGGGGGATATTCTGGCAGTGTCGTTATCACTGGGGAAACGAAGGCCAGGGAGCATTGCCTTATGGGCTGTGACTGTTTCTTCAGCTGCTTTCACATAAGCTTTGACAGCCTGCCCCCTCAGCAGGAAGGACAGGGATGGCTGTCACCGGCAGGCCCAGGCCCAGCCCCTCAGCCAGGTAGGATGGCCGGAGGATGCCAGGCAGCACTGGCTCCCCAGCCTGGGGCTCACCGCTCTCATCCAGGTCCTCCAGGCGCACTGTCTGGTGGGGCACGGGGCCATCCACAACTCGCTCCAGGATGCCTTGGACCAGGGCTGGCTGGTTGCCTGGGCAAACCCTGAGGTGCTCCCCACCGCAGGTAGTTCAGGCCTTGGCTGTCCTCACAGGAGAGTTCCACCAGGATGGTGATGTGGCTTGGGAAGGAAAAAGAAGCCTCAGGTGGGCTGGGCCCTGTGGCTCACGCCTATAATCCAAGCACTTTGGGAGGCTGAGGTGAGCGGATCACCTGAGGTCAGGAGTTCAAGACCAGTCTAAGCAACATGGTGAAAACCTGTCTCTGCTAAAAATTACAAAAAATTAGCTGGGTGTGGTGGTGGCTGTAATCCCAGCTACTCAGCAGGCTGAGGCACATACTGGACATAGGGACACCAGAAATCAACTGGCTGGCCAGCACCTAACATTAAAGGTCCTGCCAAGCAGAGATATTTTTTAGCTGAATCATATTTTCTTTCTGGAATTTTAGACATGCAAGTACTGAGATAATGAAGGGATTACTATCTGGGGCAAAAGCTGAAAGGATACAGAAAGATGAAAATCATGAGGAAGAGCTGAACACAAAACCAAGAGACAGTCAAAGAGTGTAGCCAGTTCCAGAACCCACAGCCATCTAGTTCTCTCTATATCTGGGTAGGCTCTGCTCTAATTCATGCTTTTCCTAAGATCCTTAAGAAAATACAAATGACTGCTTTGCAATAAAAGCCTAACTGGAACAACTTAAATTGATCGCCCAGGCTCTCACAGGTAAACTCAAGATTTGGTGACTAACAATGAGGAAGATAAAAGAAATAAGAGGAGGGGGGAAGGGGGAGGGATAGCATTAGGAGATATACCTAATGCTAAATGACGAGTTAATGGGTGCAGCACACCAACATGGCACACGTATACATATGTAACAAATCTGCACGTTGTGCACATGTACCCTAAAACTTAAAGTATAATAATAATAATTAAAAAAGAGACTCCCACACCACTTGTGCATCCCAATCAGAAGCCTGATACCCATCCCCACATGGACAGCTGCACAGGCCCTTGGGCTCCACGTGCTTGTGAACACACATGTACTCTGAAGTAAGGACACGGGTTCTTGTGCATCAAGTGGTATGTGGACAGGCCCCTTTGCCCATCACTGGGTATTTCTGGCAGTTTCCTGTTGTTATTCTCTTTGATCTTGTAATGGGTTTTGGGACCCCCACTTCTCCAGTCCCAGGGCTCAGAAGCCCACCAGGCTTTCCGATGCTCTCACTAAGTGTTGGCTTCTTGAGCAAGAAGGGCTAGGTCAGGGGGTGGGGTCTGGTTTTACTCATCTCTGAGTCTAGCCTCTAACCCACTGCTTAACGCAGAAAAGGTACCTGGTGAAAATCTATTAAAATCAATGACTGATTTCGCCCAATTTGGAGTGAGACATGCCCGCACAGTCTCAATGTCTGGAGAGCTTTACAAACCCCAGGGGACACCAGGAAAAAAAAAAAAAGAAATAAGAGGAAAGAATTTAAAATGATTAGGGTTTCTAGATGGGGAACTAGAAGAGATGATGATGCTACTGAGAAAGAGAAATATGGTGTGAAGAGGAGGTTGATTGGAAGAGATACTGAATTAAGTTTTGGACATTTCAAGTCTGAAACGTCTGCGGACTATCTATGAGGAGATTGGAAAATCCGCAATTCAAAAAGCATCACTTAATACATGGTAGTCTAAGCCGCAGAAACACAGGAGTATCAAAAGACAAGTCAAACCCAAGTGCTCTTTGACAAAGCTGATGGCATATAGACAGACAAGACCTTCATAATGGAGTAAATGGATGCTCTGCCCTGATGTACTGTGTACTCATCTGTCCTGGAGCTAGGCTTCCCACCAGGCGAAAATGAAGGCCAGGAGGAGCTCCAGTAGGTCTAAGTAAGAAGCTAAAAGGACTGAAAATCTGAAACTGACAGTGCCATATCCCCCAGAAAGAGAAAGAAAGAAAAAAAGAAAATCTCCAATTTACTCCTTACACAACTTTATAGGTCACAAGACACTTCATAGGAGAGGTGGACAGTTTTCATAAGCACACACCCCAGCTTTAACATATGAAGCAACAGATTTGGAAAAATAAACTTATCTAAGATTATGCAGCTAAAGCCAGGTGTGGTGGCTCACACCTGTAATCCCAGCACTTTGAGAAGCTGAGGCAGGCAGATCACCTGAGGTCAGGAGTTCGAGACCAGCCTGGCCAACGTGGTGAAACCCCGTCTCTACTAATAATGTAAAATTAGCTGGATGTGGTGGTGCATGCCTGTAATCCCAGCTACTCAGGAGGCTGAGGCAGGAGAATCACTTGAACCCAGGAGGTGGAGGTTGCAGTGAGCCAAGATCGTGCCACTGCACTCCAGCCTGGGCAACAAGAGTGAAACTCCATCTCAAAAAAAAAAAAAAAAAGAATATGCAGCTAATAAGCAGCAGAGCTGAGAATCCTTAGCACTCTCAAGCCACAAGACTCAACAGGTTTCACGGAAACCGAACTGATTGAATCTCACTGAAGTATCTACAGCAGGTCCAATCTGCTTTCCTTTAGCTTTTTCTAGATCACCACAGAGAAGGAATACAAATATAACAGTTTCTGATCCTGAAAAAAAAACCAACCCAACTTTGTTTTCCAGAAATCTTTGCTATTTGTAAACTAGTCAGATTTTAGACTGGGCATGGTGGCTCATGCCTGTAATCCCAGCACTTTGGGAGGCCGAGGCAGGTGGATCACGAGGTCAGGAGATAGAGACCATCCTGGCAAACACAGTGGAACCCTGTCTCTATTAAAAATACAAAAAATCAGCCGGGTATGGTGGCATGCGCCTGTAGTCCCAGCTGCTAGGGAGGCTGAGGCAGGAGAATGGCATGAACCCGGGAGGCGGAGCTTGTAGTTAGCCAAGATCGAGCCACTGCACTCCAGCCTGGGTGATAGAGCAAGACTCTGTCGCAAAAAAAAAAAAAAAATTAAAGAGGAGGGGACACACATCTTCTACCTTCCTCACCAATGTTTGCTTTCTACTTACACAAAAAAGGGAAAGTAAAAACATCCTGGTTGTATTAAAGGTTGGGGTTAGAATGCAAATATGGTTCATCTCAAGTACAAAAGAAAATTAAAAAATACAAACTACCATCAGAGAATACTATAAACAACTTTATGCAGATAAACTAGAAAATCTAGAAGAAATGGATAAATTCCTCGACACATACACCCTCCCAAGACTAAACCAGGAAGAATTTGAATCTCTGAATAGACAAATAACAGGCTCTGAAATTGAGGCAATAATCAATAGCTTACCAACCAAAAAAAGCCCAGGACCAGATGGATTCACAGCCGAATTCTACCAGAGGTACAAGGAGGAGCTGGTACCATTCCTTCTGAAACTATTCCAATCAACAGAAAAAGAGGGAATGCTCCCTAACTCATTTTATGAGGCCAGCATCATCCTGATACCAAAGCCTGGCAGAGACACAACAAAAAAAGAGAATTTTAGACCAATATCCCTGATGAACATTGATGCAAAAATCCTCAATAAAATACTGGCAAACCAAATCCAGCAGCACATCAAAAAGCTTATCCACCATGATCAAGTGGGCTTCATCCCTGGGATGCAAGGCTGGTTCAACATATGCAAATCAATAAACGTAATCCAGCATATAAACAGAACCAAAGACAAAAACCACATGATTATCTCAATAGATGCAGAAAAGGCCTTTGACAAAATTCAACAACCCTTCATGCTAAAAACTCTCAATAAATTAGGTATTGATGGGACGTATCTCAAAATAATAAGAGCTATCTATGACAAACCCACAGCCGATATCATACTGAATGGGCAAAAACTGGAAGCATTTCCTTTGAAAACTGGCACAAGACAGGGATGTCCTCTCTCACCACTCCTATTCAACATAGTGTTGGAAGTTCTGGCCAGGGCAATCAGGCAGGAGAAGGAAATAAAGGGTATTCAATTAGGAAAAGAGGAAGTCAAATTGTCCCTGTTTACAGATGACATGATTGTATATCTAGAAAACCCCATCGTCTCAGCCCAAAATCTCCTTAGGCTGATAGGCAACTTCAGCAAAGTCTCAGGATATAAAATCAATGTGCAAAAATCACAAGCATTTTTATACACCAATAACAGACAGAGAGCCAAATCATGAGTGAACTCCCATTCACAGCTGCTTCAAAGAGAATAAAATACCTAGGAATCCAACTTAGAAGGGACGTGAAGGACCTTTTCAAGGAGAACTACAAACCACTGCTCAATGAAATAAAAGAGGATACATACAAATGGAAGAACATTCCATGCTCATGGGTAGGAAGAATCAATATCGTGAAAATGGCCATACTGCCCACGGTAATTTATAGATTCAGTGCCATCCTCATCAAGCTACCAATGACTTTCTTCACAGAATTGGAAAAAACTACTTTAAAGTTCATATGGAACCAAAAAAGAGCCCGCATTGCGAAGTCAATCCTGAGCCAAAAGAACAAAGCTGGAGGCATCACATTACCTGACTTCAAACTATACTACAAGGCAACAGTAACCAAAACAGCATGGTACTGGTACCAAAACAGAAATATAGACCAATGGAACAGAACAGAGCCCTCAGAAATGATGCCACATATCTACAACTATCTGATCTATGACAAACCTGACAAAATCAAGAAATGGGGAAAGGATTCCCTATTTAATAAATGGTGCTGGGAAAACTGGCTAGCCATATGTACAAAGCCGAAACTGGATCCCTTCCTTACACCTAATACAAAAATTAATTCAAGATGGATTAAAGACTTAAATGTTAGACTTATAACTGCAAAAACCCTAGAAGAAAACCTAGGCAATACCATTCAGGACATAGGCATGGGCAAGGACTTCAGGTCTAAAACACCAAAAGCAATGGCAATGGCAACAAAAGCCAAAATTGACAAATGGGATCTAATTAAACTAAAGAGCTTCTGCACAGCAAAAGAAACTACCATCAGAGTGAATAGGCAACCTACAGAATGGGAGAAATTTTTGCAATCTACTCATTTGACAAAGGGCTAATATCCAGAATCTACAATGAACTCAAACAAATTTACAAGAAAAAAACCAAACAACCCCATTGACAAGTGGGCGAAGGATATGAACAGACACTTCTCAAAAGAAGACATTTATGCAGCCAGAAGACACATGAAAAAATGCTCATCATCACTGGCCATCAGAGAAATGCAAATCACAACCACAATGAGGTAGCATCTCACACCAGTTAGAATGGTGAGCATTAAAAAGTCATGAAAGAACAGGTGCTGGAGAGGATGTGGAGAAATAGGAACACTTTTACACTGTTAGTGGGACTGTAAACTAGTTCAACCATTGTGGAAGTCAGTGTGGCGATTCCTCAGGGATCTAGAACTAGAAATACCCTTTGACCCAGCCATCCCATTACTGGGTATATACCCAAAGGATTATAAAACATGTTGCTATAAAGACACATGCACACATATATTTATTGTGGCACTATTCACAATAGCAAAGACTTGGAACCAACCCAAATGTCCAACAATGATAGACTGGATTAAGAAAATGTGGCACATATACACCATGGAATACTATGCAGCCATAAAAAGTGATGAGTTCATGTCCTTTGTAAGGACATGGATGAATCTGGAAACCATCATTCTCAGCAAACTATCACAAGGACAAAATAACCAAACACTGCATGTTCTCACTCATAGGTGGGAATTGAACAATGAGAACACATGGACACAGGAAGGGGAACATCACACACTGGGGCCTGTTGTGGGGTGGAGGCAGGGGGGAGGGATAGCATTAGGAGATGCACCTAATGTTAAATGACGAGTTAATGGATGCAGCACACCAACATGGCACATGTATACATATGTAACAAACCTGCACATTGTGCACGCGTACCCTAAAACTTAAAGTATAATAATAAAAAAAAATTAGAATGCTAAAATCCAAAGAAAAAAGAAAATTAAAATTATCTTAGGCAATTTAGAAATAGCAACTGAGATGAGAGCTGGAGAGAGGCCTTTCATGGGAAGGTGAGAAGGGGTTACTTAGAATTGTTAAAGGGCGGGGGCAGGGGGAGTTTTGACACAATTTTCTTACTTTCTTGATTCCCTAATGCTCCAGTCCTTTGGACTTCTTGGTCTTAAGGCTATATGAATGACCTAATTAGACAAGTTTCCCATCTTCCACTGATTCTTCACCGCCTCTCCACTATTTCTCAACCTCAATTTGTGTCCTACACACTGCCACCTGTGGCCAGCAAATTGACTAACAATGTACGTCTACTAACTTAACGGTCATGGATGTTAAACACTGTTAAATCCAGGAAACCAGTAAAGATTAAGTCTATAGCTAATGATTGGCAGAACTAAGTCTAAACATGATCCTTGAGATTCCAAAATCAGTGGTCTCTATACGTATCATGTTGTCTCTAAGGCTCAATTACCATGAATGTATGTTATGGTAAATGGGACCAAATAAAGTCACAGAAGAGTTTTCAAAAGGAAGGTAAAATGAGGCAAGAAAAAAAGACAATGATAGGGAAGGCAATGCAAGCATCATATCTATTATTAAGGAAGAGCTCACAACATTTCCAGAAAGGCTTTCTAGGAACCAGCCTCGACTGAGGGCAGCACGAACAAGCATCATTTTCCAGGCCACCCCTTGCACCATCTTCATGATTTCCCACCACCCCTTTGAATTATTTTCTAAATCACCCTGATGCTGTCTTACACAGCATATTTTTAAAAGTTCTCAGAAACAGGCTCTTACAGTTTTATTTCTTCTTTTAAAAAAAGTTCCCGCTTATCATGTTGTACTATTTAATCAGAATATACTTGAAAACAAAAGATGCTTTGTGGTTTTTTAACTCTTGGTAATTAATCCATTGTAGGCAGTATTTTAAAAAATGATGTAGGACAGGGAAACCAATATGAAATGGGTAGTCTGAAAAGCAGTTACTAGATACTGACCACCATTTTAGGAAAGGCAGGCTATTTAACCCACTGTATGCTCCCAGGTAAACTTGTCTTCAATTCTTGTTAAGTCAAATATGAAAAACCAAACTTGCCATCTCTATAATTGCTATCGTTTAAAAAATTCTGTTGAGAGGAGACACCAAACATAGTATTTCTTACCCCGTGCAGCATAATAAAAAATAGGATTCCCAGCTTTGGAAGCCCCAGCTTGGTAGAAAATACTTAACGTTTTCAAAGCCTTGATCTCTTCTTTTTCAGGTACCTGATGCCTAAAAGAAAAAGAACAGAGTACCTCTGAGGCTTTATGTTGTCTACTGAGTATGTAAAATAGTCTATAATTGGATAAACAATAAAATACTAAAATAAAAAATATTTTAAAAGCAACAGGCATTCTAAAGGGTAATCTGACAACATGCACCAAAAATTTCAAGGTATTGCTCTTTGAGCCACAAAAGCACTTTTAGGACTATTCTAAGAGAACTATCGGACGAGGATATTAACCATAGGATTGTTTTTACTCATGACATTTTTGTCCCAGACAGAAGTTTATGATTTTTGAATGAATTCATTTTATCAATCTTTTCCTTTCTAGCTTATGGATTTTGAATGGATGAAAAAGGCCTTGCTTTGCCATGCTGTTTTGATTTATGGGAGTTTATCCTCATAAATGGTATGAAGATATTTTTCCAGATCATTACTCAGTTTTATCAACACCATTTATTGAAAGTCGAACCTAATCTCCTGGATTTCAAATACTCAACATGTACAGATTTTTCTTTGTTTTTATTCCTTAAACAATATGGTATAACAACTATTTATATAACATTTATATTGTATTAGATATTATAAGTAATCTAAAAATATTTAAAATATATGGGAGGATGTGCATAGCTTATATGCAAATACTATGACATTTTGTATCAGGGACTTGAGTCTGTGGATTTTAGTGTTCATGGGAGTGAGATGTGGGCAGGAGTTTGGGGGGTGGTTCCTGGAACCAATCCCTGACAGATACTGAGAGACGACCGTATTATAAAGCTAGGCTTTGTCAAAGAAACATATGTAAATGCTTATTATACAGTCCATAGTGTTTAATCACTTTCTGATATGTGTCAATAAGTATTTATCATTAAAGTAGACTTAATTACTTCCTTTTTTGGTCTATCTCTGGTGTTTGAATCAGGAAATCAATTGTTTCTTAGACTCAACACAATGAGTTTCTCAAATAATACCTTTATCTATCTCATCATAACATAAATGCAATCTGAGGCTTTATGTATCTTATTTCCCAATAACTGTAGACTATTCTTCATAAACTGACAACAATAACTTCCCAAACATACCGCTCTCGCACATTTATTTTTCCTGAAAGTCTATCGGTCAAGAAAAAGTAGTAATAAAGATTAGTGTCTTTACATATTTTGAACACAAAAGTTTTACATCTAAAAAGTTTAAATACACATAAAATACAAGTATAAAGCTGTAATGAAGTAGTTATAATTCTCACAGTAAAACCCACTAATATTTGAAAGTCATTTTTTTTACCTTGTAAGACATTTTACATCATCATCTGCTGCTTGGTTTGATGTTCCCATAACCCAGTCTGTCAGGTATTCTACCATCTTATTCCTATAGAATGGTGGAGAAAAGAGAAACAGCACACAATTTTTCTGAAGTCATACCCCCCCACACACACACCTTCAGTCATGTAAGATTACTTATGGTGCAAATAATTTGGCAGATAACCCAGGTGACATGACGACTTTATAAAAGAGATACTGCTATCATAGATGTAAAAGCCAGAAGGAACAAGCAACGTGGATACTGATCCTCCATCATGGCCTTTAGTTATGCTATCAGATTGGAAACAGAATCAAATTCTTAGCTCAAGTACAGCAGAGTTTTAGAAAAAGGGAGGCTTGCCACAGGCACAAAGCTTAGGGAAATTTGAGGAGAGACACAGAGAAAAACAAACATGTAAACTGCTCTCTTTTTATGTCTTTCTTCCTACCAATAACCAGATATCTACTCTATTTCTGTACTTTATTCAACAAATTAAGATTTACAAGACCCTACATTGCTCTTTTGAGAACTCACCTAAATTTCATCTCTCGGCAAAATGAGAGGTCATCTCTCCTTGCCATCGTTACTTCAACCAACTGACACAGTTTCGTTTTTATTTGAATTGCATGGACCATATTCCCAAGCACACAAACGTACCTATACAGACATAGAGACAATAAAAAAGTTATCAGATACAGACACAAGATAAGGCATTCAAAATACTTTAACCATCAAATAAAACGAACTAAACGTAAGTTTGAAAACAGTAAGACATTTATTTATAGGAGAGCATACACAATTTCTGGTTACCTTGTTGTCACAGCCTAGTTTGTGTGCAGTAAAGAATGGCAAATTATTTTATCAATTACTATCAATATCAATGTGTGAGAGGTTTTTCTTGTCTCTTAAATCTTAAAGTATGTTTCTGCTACATTTCAGTAGAAGGCTTACCTGACCAGATTTAACATCATTGTTTCAATGCTAGCTTGCTCTAGATGTTCAGAGCTGCCTTCAGTATGATTATCTAGCAAGTTCTTCAATATAGCTAGGGTTTCCTCTACAAATTGAGTATTGGTATCAGTCAATAAAACCTATAGAGAGAACAAATATATTAATGATTTGCCATCAATGCCCAGAAGACAGATCCCTAGAGAGATGAAACTGACTGATCTAAACACACAAATAGAGACATGCACCCACAGGCACGCAGCCAAACAGGCACACAGATATACACAGACACTCATACCCATATACAAGGCACGTATACCCTCAGGCACACATACACATCAGAGTTCCTAGAAGCAAGCTGACCATTCATTGAGATGATTCTTCTTTCTACAATTTTTTGACAATTTTTAAAAACTGTGAGTACCTAATTTAAATAATCTGAAAGAAAAAGGCTTCATTATTTCAAACAAGTCACTCTATTCATAGGGAAAGGTGAAAAATAAAAAAGAGCACACTTTACCTGTCCTTAGGAGTCAAAAAACTTGCTGATGGGTCTTCTTCAATTTGTTAAATAGCATCAGATAAAGAGCAGGACTCAATTCTAGACCCACCAGGTCCTTATCATTGGTCCGTATTTGAAGTCCCACTTTCTCAAGCTTACACACCATTAACGACAACAGCTGATCCATATATTTGCTGACAGGTGTATCTGCGTTTCCCTCTGAGGACATCACTGAAATCATGGAACCCTTATGTTCACTGACCGGACCCACGGGTGGGCTATAGGTTGCCAGGCCAGAATTC